>NC_000010.11:86506731-86658246 GCF_000001405.40 Homo sapiens | reverse complement strand
CTTTGGGCCACCCTCCATTGAGGGCATCCCCAGGTCAAAACCCTCCTCCTCCCTCCAGCAAAAGGGAGCCCCAGCATCTACCTGTCTCCCCAAAGAGCCACTGCTTATAGAGGCTACTGGTGAAGAAGACAGGGGCCTGGGTGAAGGACATGAGGAAGTCGCTGACCGCGAGGTTGATAATGAACATGTTGGCAGGTGTCCGGAGGCTTCTGCTCCTGGGAGGATCAGAAGCTGTTAGGAGGCGCTTCCTGACACCTCCAGAGCTATGGAGAGCTTCCCGCACCCCTCAGGTATGCATGTGCACACACGTGCCACACACTTACACATGCACACACACATGGGCAAGCAAACAGGCACGAGCTGCCGGGCCACAGAGCTATCCCACTGTCGGGCAGGGACCAGCCAAGCAGCTGTTGAACCCAGCAGTGTCTGCTGAGTGAGGACCCCAAGACGGCTCCCTCAGAGAGAAGCAGGGGGCAGTTTCTCTCCAAAACCTGAGGCGTGGCCCAGCGCAGGCCGGTTCTTGGGTCATGTCCGTTTCCTCTTCTTGCCCTCTAAATTCCTCTGCACGACTCACACCATTTCCTTGACCAATTCACTGGTTTCCTTGAGTCCCTCTAGGCCAAGGTCTCCCTAGAGGTTTCTCCCTAGGTTCCTCCTCCTGCGTGCCCTGACTGTGCTTTCCCATGGCTTCTCACGCTTCCCTCCTCCGCGGGTCCCCCTCCCACTCTCCCTCCAGTGTCACGTCCTGCCTGGACCCTGCCCTGCACACTGTCTCTGTAATCCTCATGCTTGGGGATGGCCAAGGGCAGAGGAGCTGATGGCTGTGCACCACGGCCGGGCCAGGCACTTTCACCAGCCTCGGCTCCTGTCATCATCCATCTTTGCATCTACCCTGAGGGAGGCGTCATTGTCCCCATTTTCCAGACAAGATGCTCCCACTCATGAAGTGACTTGCTCCGGTGCACAGCACTCAGTAAGTGGCTCATCTGTGGGGCAACGCACATCCGTGAACTTACTGCATCATCACAGTGACTCCACGAAGCACAGCTCTGTTTTGCGGAAAGAAAAGTGAGCTCAAGGAGGAGAAATGACGTGCCCAGTCCTTCAGCTGGCAGGTGGGAGAGCCAGGGGGCTGTGTGGCCCTGCAGCCTGGGTTCCCTTCTCCACCTGCCTGTCTCAGCCACTGAGCCAGGCAGGGGGGCAGATGGAGAGGGACACTGGGGGTGGGTGTCAGGGGTGTTTGAGGGACTTGAGGATGCTGGTCCCCAGGGCTGCTCTTTTTTTTTTTTTTTTTTTTTTGAGATGGAGTCTTGTTCTGTTGCCCAGGCTAGAGTGCAGTGGCATGATCTCGGTTCACTGCAAACTCCGCCTCCCAGGTTTAGGCGATTTTCCTGCCTCAGCCTCCCAAGCAGCTTGGATTATAGGCACACACCACCACACCTGGCTAATTTTTGTATTTTTAGTAGAGACGGGGGTTTCACCACATTGGCCAGGCTGGTCTCGAACCCTGATCTCAGGTGATCTGCTCGCCTTGGCCTCCCAAAGTGCTGGGATTACAGGCGGGAGCCACCACGCCTGGCCTAGAGCTGCTCTTCAACGCAGGGGGAGGATGCTCTCTGGGGCAGGTGACGGAGAGGTGCGCTGAGAGCAGGGCAGAATGGTCAGAGACCCACATACTCTGGGCACACACACCCTCCACAGAGGATGCACCTGGGTCTCAATTAGTGCCAGTCAGTCAAGTCTCCCTGGACCATTTTTGGCCCTTTCCGTGACCTTCAGGAAGGTCTGGGCCTGAGATCATCGAAGGCATGGCCCTGCCCTCCTTGCCTAGCCTCAACAGTGCCCTGGCCAGAGCTAGAGTCAACATTCCTGCCTGCATTTTCTTCCCTGTCTGCATGGCTGCCACCCTCAGTGCCCTGGGCCCAGCACCACCAACCAGGCACCTGCAGAAGGTATAGATGACCGTCAGGTTGCCCAGCATCCCCGTGAGTCCCACCAGCAAGATCACTGTGCCCAGGGTATAGTGGGCATGGTCTGGAACATCAACCGTGGGGAGGGGGACCCAGGCAGCAGCCCAAGTCCCAGGTGCCTGCGGAGAGACAGAGAAACGAGGGAATCATGTTATCGCTTGTCACCTTCAAATAGTCCTGAGAAGGAAGAGTTAGGATTCTCAACAGGGCAGGTGGGAAAACTGAGGCTCAGAGTGGCAAAGCCAGTTGCACACACAGCTCACAAGTGGCCAAAAGCAGAAGGGAAGTGCAGGTCCTTTCTAAAGTCCAGCCCAAGCTCCTAGAACATGGCACAGGGGCCTTCTAGGAGTGGGCTCAGATCACCTGCTGGAGGCTGGTAGGACAGACAGACATGTGACTGGCAAGCAGGGACATGGCCCTGGTCACCCTATCTTTCCTTAGGGAGAAGACAGAGCCAACTCCTGGGTGCATCCCTGCCTGCAGTATGGACTCCAGCCCAAGGGCCCAAGACAGTTTTTGAGGCCTCTAGACGCTGGGGTGGTGAGTCGGGTGGAGCCCCTCTCAAGAGTCCCGTCCCCTACTGAGCCTTAGAGGAGAAGCTGCATTGCCCAATAGCATAGCTGGGTACAGCTAACCTTGATGCCTGGCATGAAAATGAAGGGAATTCCCTTTAGAAAGAAAGCTTAGGCCTCCCAGGGTCACTGAAGGGAGGTCATGACCATATCAGGTCAGGACAAAGGGATTTAAAGACTCCTCCCACCCTAACCCCTTTCTGGGGAAGAGAGGGTGGCTTGGTCTCTGTCCTGCCGCAGTGGCCCCTATAGCTACCGGAGCCTTCCCATCCTGTCCAGCACCTGGGCCAGCATCCCCAGGTCCTGAGGGTGCCCTCGGCCTTCCCCAGGTAGCAGTGGTGTTGATGGAATATGGCCCTGGGCCTGGGCTAGGATGATGGAGGTGGCAGAAGGCACCCAAGGCTTCACTGTGGGCTTGGCAGATCCAGAGGCCCAGGGTGTGCCCTCCTCCCTGGAGGGCTCCATGGGGCATCCGAGCAACCTCTGAAAGGAATGAGTGCAGCCAAGGACAGGTCTGGCCATTCCAGCCCCTTGTCCTCAGGGCTGGCATTTCTGTTCCTTGAATGCTCTCCATGAGGAAGGACATTGCCTGCACCCTCCTCTATCAGCCTGTTTATCAGGGGCGGGCTCAGAGAGGTCCAGTAATGGCTCAAGGCCCCACAGCAGAGTTCAGACCTTTTCTATCTCCCTGTCAAAGCCCCTGTGTGTGGCCAGGAGGGGACCAGGAAGGGGTCAGGGAAGGCTCTGTGCATGCACATGCTCGCCCAGGCTTACTGTGGGACTGATGGATGGAAGCCGGCCCAGGCTGGAGATGCTGCTCTGGGAGCTGTCCCACCAGCTGGGTGGTGCTGGGGTGGCCATGCAGCTGGGCTCTTGGGTTGGGCTGGGCGGGACTCTTGGCCCCGAAGGAGGGTTCATCCTGAGTTGGGATGGTCCTTGCTCGAGCCCACAGAGAAGTCAAGGGCACAGGGAGCTCAGGACTTCAGCTGTGCTCAGCCTCCCAACTTTCCTCCATCCTCAGCACCCCTGCTTAGCCTACCCGCTGCTTTCTCCTGTGTCCGGCGCAGATCCAGCCTGGAGCTGCTCTTGGGGCTGGCGGTTGCTCTGTGTCTGGTGAAGCGCAAATGAGTGAGTGTCGCAGTTATGGTGACTCACAGCCACAGAGTTCATCCCCATCTTTATATAGCGATGTGGGAGCTGCACATGCTCAGTCGCTCCATGCCGCCAGCTCACTCAGACCAAGGTCTCTGGGTGTCTATCTACGAAGGTCTGATGATGGTGGCGTGAATGTGTATGTGTGAGTGTGTGTGTGTGTGTGTGTGTGTTTCAAGGGAGACTTCTGGAATGATGGTGGCATGAATGTGTGTGTGAGTGTGTGTGTTTCAAGGGAGATTTCTGGATGATGGTGGTGTGAATGTGAGTGTGTGTGAGTGTGTGTGTGTGAGTGTGTGAAAGTGTGTGTTTCAAAGGAGACTTCTGGGATGATGGCGTAAATGTGTATGTGAGTGTGTATGTGTTTCAAGGGAGATTTCTGGGATGGTGTCATGAATGTGTGCGTGTGTGTGTGTGTGTGTGTGAGGGTTCGTGAGTGTGTGTGTTTCAAGGAAGATTTCTGGGATGGTGTTGGGAATGTGTGTGAGTGTGTGTGTGTGTGAGTGTGTATGTGTTTCAAGGGAGATTTCTGGGATGATGGTGGTGTGAATGTGTATGTGTGTGAGTGTGTGTGTTTCAAGGGAGATTTCTGAGCTGACAGTGGTGTCAATGTGTGAGTGTGTGTGCATGTGAGTGTGTGTGAGTGTGAGTGAGTGAGAGCATGTGTGTGTGTGAGAGTGTGTGTGAGAGTGTGTGTTTCAAGGGAGATTCCTGGGCTCGGGCTCTTGGACATTGGGCAGAAGGCTGTGTCCTCTCCTTTGACCAGTCTCTGTTGTGTTTCTTCCCTGAGCTCATCAAGAGCAGCCTCAGCCATCCCAAGAGCCCCCAGAGCTGTTTGTGGGCAGCTGAGCCTGTGCAGCCCAGCCTCACCCTTGTCACAGTGGGCCCTACCACCATGTTTGGCCCCCATGAGCCATGGCATTTTCACAGTCACCCTGCATAGAACCAAGGCTGGTCACCCTTTCACAGATGGAGACACAAGGAGGATGTAGCAGTAGGGTGAGATCAGATCACGAGGCGGCTTTTGCTTGTTTTTTGATAAGAAAGTTTTATTTTTTTATTTTTATTTTTTTTGAGACAGTCTTGCTCTGTCACCCAGCCTGGAGTGCAATGGTGCAATCTCAGCTCACTGCAACTTCCGCCTCCCAGGTCCAAGCAATTCTCCTGCCTCAGCCTCCCGAGTAGCTGGGATTACAGGCACTCGCCACCACACCTGGCTAATTTTTGTATATTTAGCAGAGGCAGGAGTTCACCATGTTGGCCAGGCTAGTCTCGAACTCCTGACCTCAGGTGATCCACCCACCTCGGCTTCCCAAAGTGCCAGGATTACAGGCGTGAGCCACTGGGCCCGGCAGAAATTTTTAAAGTATAAAGATTTTTTAAAACCTTATTGGGAGAGTCCCAGGAACTCACCCAGGCCTGCAGGCCTGATCCAAGTTGACTGGATGTCAGAAGTGGAGGGGACCCCGGGCCTGCCCCTTGCCCTGTCTTAGAGGAGGCAGCAGGAGCTGGAGAGAAGGGAAGCTGAACACACGGCTTCCAGGGAGGGCTGCTCGGGCTAGGCCTGCCACAGAGGCTGCGTTTAGGGGAGCCCGACCGGGCAGCGGTCATCCTAAGTGGGGGCCATGTCCTGGCACAGTGCTGGGAGTGTTGGAGCCCTGGAGTGGACAGAGATATCACTCCTCTTCCAGAAGTTCCCCCAGTCTTTACAAACAGTTCTCCTGGAGCCCCAGGTTTGAGCAGGAGAAGTGGGAGCAGCCTCACTGGGAGCGGGAGCTGTACTTCCTGCAGCTGCCAGCCCATGGCTCAGACTGCCTTCCTCCTGAGGCTCTTCCACTTCAGGGCTTTGGCTCACAGAGGCCACCCTGGGGGCAGGGTGAGGCTGAGGGGCCGGCTTTTCTTTCTGTCCCTAGGCTCAATGCCAGCTGCTTGCGTTTTAATGTAGGGGTTTAACAATTCCTCACAGCTGGGAGCAATTCTGAGTCAACACAACGTCCCATTCAATGTGGACCCCACTCTCCAACCTGCTAATTAAGAGAGGGTGCAGGTGATGGAGCAGGCACAGGAGTCCAGGGGAGAAGTGCTTGTCAGGTGGACACATGAGGCGGGAATCCACATACCCAGGGTGCCACAGGCCTCAAAGGAGCACCTCAGGGAAAGATCAGAGGACTCGGAACCCCCAGCCTGGGGCCTTTGGAAGCCCACGTCTCACCTGACAATGTCCTTTCTCCATGGGCCGTGCACTGCAGCCGTTGCGGGTGACACTGAGATCTCCTCAGGGCCCAACCCCCTCACTCCTGTGCTTCTGTCCCACTGGGGAGGCTCCCCATGGCGCTCTTGCTCCAAACCTTTGCATCCCACACCCACCTGGCAGCTCGTCTGCCCGGAGCCTGCCATCCAATGGAGCCAGGAGGGCCGCGTGGGAAGCCTCAGCCTCCAGATGTCTCCTATGACTACTGCTGCCCAAGCTGTCCTGGCTGGAAGCTGTGGTCTGATGGGTGGGAACCCTGACCTTCCATCACTCCCCTCCGACCAGGTGGCTCCTGTCTTCCTGGGTGCCTGGCTGTGCTCACCTTCCCTCAGCACTTCTCCTCCTCCTCTGCAAGCTTGGCTCAGGGTGGGGCCCGGCCTCTTGAGACCTGGGATTGTTGATGGTCTCATGGGCCTGTGCCATCCAAGAATCTCAACGCAGGGAAAAGTGTGGAAGGGGTCCTCAGAGTCCTCCCAGTCCCAACTCTGGCTGGTGCCCACTCCCTTGGAGACTGTCCTGGGCATCTCCTCCTCCCCCGGTGCCATTCCCGGGGGCAGGCTGACCTCAGTGCTTGGTGCCGGGTTTGCCGATGGTCCCAGGGACCTCTGCACTGATAGTGGGGCTAAGGTAGCCAGCCACATCTCCCCTTCCGTGGCCCCACTTTGCTCTGGTTCCTCCCTTCCAGCCATTGCTTCCTGCTGCAGCCCTAAAGGCAGGTGGAAACACAAATTCCACATAATCCCACACTTAACCCTTTGGTGGCTTCCACAGCTCTTAAGACAGAGACAGAGCCCAAACGTGGCGAGGCGGGTGGAGGGAGGTACTACATCACCTGGTATGTGGGGATAAGAAGTGGGCTTTAGGGGGAAGCACGTACACCGAGGCTCAGCAAGAAGAGGCACGCCATTTCCTCTATGCGTGCATGGGCAAGGCTGCTGTCACTGCATGGGACTCAGTGTCCCCAGGGACCTGCCCTTGCTCCTACCCCTTTTCCATGCATGCTTCAGAGTAGCCTTGTTTGTGGGACAAGCAGCCGAGCTCAGGCGCCAGGCAGTCTGGGTGTGACTGCCAGCTGATTGGGGAGGTGTCTGAGAGCTCCAGCTGCCAGCACCTGGAGACCTTGCTGGATTAGGCTGGATTAGCTGGATTAGGCCTTGCGGGAGGAGGAGGCCTGATACCTTGGGGAGCTGAGTTCAGGTGAGTCTTCTCTTGCTGAGAGAGGAGGAGCCACTGAATCTGCCTAACTCCGTGCCTGGAGACCAGGCTGGCCTCCTTTCAGACCACCGAAGGCACACAGCTCCTCTGGTCACCCAGCCTCTGCTCACACACTGCTCCTGAAACCTTCGCCTGTCCCCTGCTCTGGGTCTCAACTCAAATACCACCTCCCCCAGACTGCCAAGGGCCCAGCTGTTCACCTCCTCCTGTCCATCCCTCGGAGCATCTATGGATAGTGATAGTGTCATTTGCAGTGATTGTCATCTGACCATGTCTGTCTCCCTCCTTGGAATGCAAACAGGTCGGATTTGTTCACCTTTGAGACCCACTGCCTAGTAGAGCACCTGACACATTGTATCAGGAAATCCAAAATCTCCCTGGTCCTTGCTTCTCAAAGTGTGGCTGGAGGACTGGCTGCTGATGTGCACCCCTCCTGCAGCTTGTTAGAAACTCAGACTTCCCAGACCTGTGACTCAGGTGTGGACGCACGAGGTGTGTCTATCCTCATGTTAAATGGGAGAGGTGATGGTGTAGATGCTTGGGAGGACTTCGGTGGTTGGTAACAGGTGGTGGAAGAGCCGATCTGAGGGGACACTGAGGCACCCCAGAGATTAGCGCCAGTGGAGCGCACTGCTGTGGCCAAGGCTGGAAGGACCACAGGAGGAAGGGGCTGCTGTGATTCCAGGGGCTGGGCCTCTCCAGCTGGGTGCCACCAAAGCAGGGCACTCATGAGGAGGCATGGCTGGCTGCTGGAGAGGTGTGCGGTGAGCAGAGCAGGGGCATGGGGCCCTCACTGCCCGCTCTGGCCTCCCATCTTCTGCAGGAGCCCCACCATGGTCAGGCCTACCCACAAGCCTGGGAAGGAAACTGGGGAGATGTGTTTCCCGCAACAGAGAGCAGAGCAGGGCAAGGTTGATGGAGCACACGACAGCTGTCACTGCAGACGTGATGTCCTTCCTTCCACCCACCCCCATCTGCCACCGTAGCCAGTAGATGGTGTGTCCCCGGCCCATGGCCTGTAGGTCAGCCCTCCCATGTAACCCACAGGGGCTCTTGGCTGGGCAGCATTTGGCGGCTCTCTGCCTGGCCAGGCTCTGGATCAGCCTGAGCCACCCTTCTGCTCAGCCTGGCCTAGGAGTCTATGGCCCATCACCTCTGCTCTGCCCCTCGTTGCTCCAGGGAGACGCAGAGGGCTGAGTGTGCACAGTAGTACGTGTCGCCCTGGCCCACACCTCCGCACTGACTGCCGCCTGCTCTTCACACCTCGCTGGCATGGCTGGAGGTGGGAAAAGCTTTCTAGCCCCTCATCCTCAGGGGAGTAGCAGGGCCACAAGAGCAGGAGGCCCGAGAGCTGCCCTGGGGCTGCAGAGAGGGTCGAGGTCCAGGCCAGGGCAGCAGGGACAGGAAGTATGCTATTTAGAAACGATTCAGTAGTGGGCCCTTGGCAGACGCATAACCATGCTCTGGGGGACTGGAATCAACCAGCTGTCCTGCCACTGCCCACAACCCCCGACGGATGCTGACTTTACTTATGGGCCTATGGGCCCCATTATTCCTGTCCCCTGTAGATATTTTCTGAAAGCCTTTGCAAGAAGAGCTGATAGAAAAGCTAGGTGCCCTGGAGGCTCCTGGCCCCTGCATTTCTGTATTTCTGGCCACAGCACTGACTGTCCAGAGAGTAGACAGGGCTCCCTGCCCTCTGGCCCAGCCCAGCCCAGCCCAGCAAGCAACACTGCTATGCCCCTCCCATGCCATGCCCATCCTGTCCACTTCTGGGGATTGGTTTCCTCATCCCGGGGCTGGAAGAGGCTATCTGGTTATTCAGAGACTCCTAGGAAACGCCCAGGAGCTGTTACCAGGGGAATATTAAATGTCTTAGCAAGCATAGTCCTGTAGGCATCTGGCCAGGAGCTCACTTGGGGCCTCCCTCCCTCCTCTGGAAGCTGGCCAACCCTTTCGGGATGGGACACTCTTCCCTATGGCTTGAGGGGAGGAGTTAAAAACACAGAAACTTGGAAAACTCTTACTTTTCTGCTGCCTTATACCATAGAACCCCAGGTGCAGCTCTGCCCTTTTACCTGCCCCTGGCCTGGGGACACCACCCCCGCCTCCTAAGTGTGGGCCTGCCCGCTGGGAGCCAGCCAAATGACCCAGTAGCCCTGCTAATGTTCTGAGGTCTTGTCAGTCCCCGTGGCCCACCCTGCTCTCCATGGCTCCTCCCTCCCCTCACTCCCACTCAGGAGTGCTCCCACTGCGTTCCCCCCTGTGCAGCCTATACTGGCCAAAGGAAACCAGCAGGGACAGAGCCACGGCTCCAAGGAGGGCTGATGATGGATAGAGTCTGCACAGCATGGAGAGGCCATTTCCTGTCCTGACGGGAGTACCTGTGCTACCACCTGATTTCTCGCTGATGGCACCCACATCTCCTGGCCTGGGGTGCTGATCCCGGAGGCTCAGGGCTGTCCCCAGTGCCCGGCCTGCCAAGTTTGCATGTATCATCTCAGCGAGTCCAGTCTGGGGGGCTCCAACGTCATACCCATCTGAGTGCCGTGCATTCATTAAACTCCTACAGCACTGAGCCACACTCCGGTTTGCCTAAGACACCATGGCCACCCAAGGCGAGCCTAATGTAGAATGGAGAGGGGTGACACAGCCATGCCCCAGAATGGCCTGTTCCTCCTTTTGCTGGAGGCTTCTTTTGAGGGGATCAGGTGAGAGAGAGGAATTAGGAAACAGAATGGCTGAGGAAAACATGAGGAAGGCTAAAAGAACAAACTTTTATGTGAAAATTTACTACTCCCGAGAGAGGCATTTGGATGTAAAAAAAAACCCCAGCCAGTGGGTGGTCCTGTATTTCACATGCTTTGGGCACACCCAGCAGAAATCGAGAGCTTGCTACTGGATTTTTAAAAAGAAATTCTTTCCTTAGCACCTTTGACATGTCCTTGTTTGCACACAGAGCCCTCTAATTTGGGGTACACAGAGAGAGGCACAGAGACCCATGGATTATATACTTTCCTGCCCTTTTGGTAACTTGTTGGAACCGCACTTTTCTTTCTCAAAATATTATAGCTGATCATAATCAAGTGTCTGAGTCATTCCCTACAAAGTGGGGCATTTGTCTGAGGGATAGAGTCACCCACTTTGATTTACGATAGCCCAAGGCAATTTCTGACCTCGCAGAGAGGAGAAGTGTAAAAGACAAATGAAGCAGGATGGAAATCTACAGGAAACATCAGAGATGTTCTTAGTGAAGACCCATTCAGGCATAGAGATGTGTCTCTGGGTCTGTTCTGTGACTGCCCCACAACCCCTCGCTGATCTCAGCAGTGCATGAGTGGCACCACAAGAGTCTGAATGAAAACCCTGCATTTGGGCCAGATGCGGTGGCTCACGCCTGTAATCCCAACACTTTGGGAGGCTGAGGTGAGTGGATTGCCTGAGGTCAGGAATTTGAGACCAGCCTTGCCAACATGGCAAAACCCTGTCTCTACTAAAAATACAAAAATTAGCCGGGCATGGTGGTGGCACCTCTAGTCCTAGCTACTTGGGAGGCTGAGGCCAGAGAATTGCTTGAACCCAGGAGGCAGAGGTTGCAGTGAGCCAAGATCAAGTCACTGCACTCCAGCCTGGGCGACAGAGTGAGACTCTGTCTCAAAAAAAAAAAAAAAAAGAAAAAAAGAAAACTCTGCATTCGAATTTGTGACTGTAGACATGTCAGCACTGCAAGCAAACTCCCCAAGCTGTAAAAACAGTGTAAATTCCATCTCCCATCAGGCCCAACACGATCAGGTCAACCTCGGTGGGCATCCCAGCCTTGCCAATATTTGCTACAGGGAACTGGGAAGTGACAAGGAACCACACAGCTCCAAGATTCAGTTTCCTCACCCGTAGAATGGAGATACTAATACCTGCCTCTCAGGGCTTCCGAGTGGCTTCATAAGAAGGCATGCAGAGTACTCAGCTTATGCCTCACCCAGAATCCAGGCTCCAATCTTACAGGGGCTGCTGAGGCAGGACAGGCAACATCCTGGTGCCCATGGGGCTTCCATGTTTGCACAGCACACCCCCCAGATGATTACCTGGGAATTAAAAAAGTTATGCCGCCTGGATTATTAATGATAGCCCACCCCCAGAGACTCCGATTTAGTTGGCCTGGGATATAGCCTAAACACTGGGATTTTTTAAAAATGCAGTGTAACACAAAGCCATAGCCAGCCTCAGCCACATACCTACATGGATCCACATGTGTTTCCCATTCCTCCGCCTCATTCGCTCCAGCTCCCCCGGCTCCTAGCTCCATCTCTGCTCTGGATGTTGTTGTTATTTTGTGGCTGGGCCAGGGAGCAAACTCTCCCCTCTTCTACGACCTGCAGGGTGGGGGCCCAAGCTGGATTCAGGCCTCTGCCAGGACCTAAGCCTCTGAAGAGTGTGGGGAAGCAGTGGTGATGAAGGATCCAGGCACCTGGTGCCGAGGGCAGACAGGCATAAGAGCTGAAGCTATGAGATAGGAGGGGCCAGGAGGCCTGGGGTCTGTGGGTAGAATTCAGGGCAGTAACCTCTAGCTGAAATGTAGGTTTTCCCTCCATTATGAACAAGGGCAAAACCCCCACAGTAGTCTTCCTGGGGCTTTGTGACCATTGGGAATCATCACTCCTTCTATATGACAGCAGAGTTGCTGCAGATAACTTGCAATATTGGTTTTGTTCATCACTACATCAAAATCACAATCCTGCGTAGACCTGCCGCCAGATTCTGTGGTTGGTTCATTAAATGAAGAAGCACATAGTTTACCTGATTACAAATTTATTGTTTAATATTTTGGTAACAACAGTTTAATGTCACTGGCTTACTTTACAATCCTATGTATTTTATCTTACGCATTAAAAGCACTCCTAGGCCCAGCGCGGAGGCTCACTCTTGTAATCCCAGCACCTTGGGAGGCCAAGGTGGGCAGATCACCTGAGGTCAGGAGTTCAAGACCAGCCTAGCCAACATGGTGAAACCCTGTCTCTACTAAAAATACAAAAATTAAGGCAGGTGTGGTGGCGCATGCTTGTAATCCCAGCTACCAGGGAGGCTGAGGCAGGAGAATTGCTGGAACCTGGGAGGCAGAGGTTGCAGTGAGCCGAGATTGCGCCATTGCCCCCAGCCTGGGCAACAGAGCAAAACTCTAGTTCAAAAAAAAAAAAAAAAAAAGAGCACTTCTGGGGTTGGGTGCAGTGGCACATGCCTGCAATTCCAGCACTTTGAGAAGCTGAGGTGAGAAGATTACTTGAGGCCAGGAGTTCGAGACCAGCCTGGGCAACATAGTGAGACCCCATCTCTACAGAAAATTATCTGGGTATAGTGGCACATGCCTGTGGTCTCAGCTACTTGGGAGGCTGAGATGGGAGGATTGCTCAAGCCTGAGAGGTTGAGGCTGCAGTGAGTCGTGATCATGCCAATGCACCAATGCAACCTAGCCTGGGTGACAGAGCAAGACCTTGTCTCAATAAAAAGATTTAAAAATATAATAAAATAAGAGCACCTCTAAAAAGGACTCTATAGGCTGCACAGGACTCCAAAGGGGTTCCTGGCACAGAAAAAGTTAAGAGCTATGAGCAATGAGATGAGGGGTGTTCAAAGCCATGATTAGGGCAGCAACGGTGGGGATAGAGTCCTCTGGCTCTCCCCAGGAACTGCCTGGGGGTTTTATGAGCTGCTCCTTCCTAGGCTCTGCCCTGCACCAAGTCCCTGGCCCCCTGCAGGCCTGGTTGTTCACTCTGCCTGGGTCCCCCAAGCCAGCCTGAGTCTGAAAGAACTACCTGGTCCTTGAGGCCTCACCTGTCCATCCAGACCCCTAAGCCCCGGCACCTGGCTGCAACTCTGGCCTTCCCATTTCCTTAGGTAAACTGCAATTCCTCAGAGCCAGAAGAGCTGACCAACACTCTGTGAGGGTGGGGACTCCTTGGGAGACCAAGGAACCCCAGAGTGTGGCAGCTGCCCCCACGGCACAGCCTGAGTGGGCAAGTGACTTTTGGGGCAGTGTTTCACTGGAGGGACAGGAGCAGTCTTTGCTGAAGGCCTGGTGGGAAGCTGCTGGGCCTTCCTAGGAGGTTGGGGCAGAGAGCACGGCATGGGAGACAGAGCCCAAGAAGCAGCTGCCAGGGTGCAGGGCGACTTCCAATGCTTGGGGCTGCCCCTACATTTGACACTGAGAGTGGAGGCCCAGAGCTGGGCCCCATTTCCAGCTCCAGAGTGCAGATGCTCTAGCCTGGTCCTGTCCTCTGCTCTCTTCATACCAAGAGGGCTGTGGTCCAGAAACTTCCCAGCAGGAGTCCCCACCAGGAGTCTCAGCCTCTTCCTGGTCATCTAAAAGCCTCCTAGAATCCTAGTTCTGGTAGCAAAAACTTCACAGCTTCTCCCCAAGGACCAGAAGCCTACGATTTCACACGAGTGTGAAGAGACATGCGCCCCCGCCAAGGACTCTGTGTCCCCAGCAGGGGACAGGGGCGAGTCACCACATGATGAGATTGATGCATGAGAACTCCTGTCAGGACAAGGGAGTTTCTGGGTTTGTTGTGGTTTTAATTTGTGATCTACTTGATGCAAGCACATTCTTTAAAAATGAAATAGCACTGAAAGGCAGTTTCTGGTCCCATCCCTCCTGCTTTCTTGTGTGAAAATAAATATAATTTAAAAGCTGTTGGAACCCAAAAAAACCCACTTCAAACCTTAAGAGAAATGTGAATGTGATCTTAGTCACATATGGTTCCAACTTCTGTTTCTCAGATTATAGATTAACTTGTTTTCTTATTTTTTTGTTCTGTACAATGACTAGAGAGAATTAAATTATATCAGGGACAAAAGCCTCCTGCCTTCTTAATTAATGACTCTTGTTATAGATTAACTTCCCCTTTGTTGTCCTACTTTGCCTAAACCAGATGACAGAAAACCCATGACTGTTACACCCATTATATTCAAAATGCTAAATGTACCCTTTCCAAAAAGGATGCATTGCCTATCATCAATCAAATTGCTGGAAGTATGTGCCAACTTCATATGAAAAATGTTGTAATCCTGCTAAAAACATCTCTGTCTCTGCATCTATAAATGAAACCCTAATTTCTCTACTTCAGAACACTGCCTCCATCTCTTCGCAGTTGATGCTCCTGAGTGGGCCATCCTCAAACTTTGTATTTGAATAAACTCTCTTTAAATTAGACTCTGATCCTTTTGATTATTTTAAGTTGACATTTTGGCAACTGCAGATAGGACCTGAAACAAGCCTCGTGCGATCCTCGTTGCTTTGCTGGCATTCGGAGATTTAGTACCAGCATGAGTGGCTTTTACTCGTCTGACCTCATCAGAGCTGGCGGGGGTCTCTGGTAAGACTTCTCTCAGGTTTCATATCTTCCTAGTTCTGGCTGAGATTCAGACTTTATTCAAGCAACCCAATTCCACACTCAACAGAGCTAGAACTGAAGCTCAACTTTTGGCTTTGAGGTAGTCACTTTATTGTTATTTCTCTAGAGATTCTGTTATTTGCAAGTTTGTAGTTTCACTTTCTTTTGAGGTTAAGATTTTGTCTGTTTTGCTTGCTAAAGTTTGCAACTTTTCTCCCATTCAAAATTTGGGGCTGGGTGCAGTGGCTCACACCTGTAATCCCAGCACTTTGGGAGGCTGAGGCGGTTGGATCACTTGAGGCCAGGAGTTGAAGACCAGCTTGGCCAACATGGTGAAACCCAATCTCTACTAAAAATACAAAGCATTAGCTGAACGTGATGGTGCATGTCTGTGGTCCCTGCTACTTGGGAGGCTGAGGTACGAGAATTGCATGAACCCAGTAGGTGGAGATTGCAGGGAGCTGACACACTGTACTCCACTGTCCAGCCTGGGTGACAGAGTGAGATTCTGTCTCAAAAAAAATTGGTTAAATAGAAAGCAGTTTCTTTTTAAAAAGAGAAAGTGAATGCTTGTGGCTTAAGCTAAATGTGCAGTTTTAAACTGACCAGGTTTTGGAGCTGGGTTAAAATTGCCATTTAGATTTTCTTTCTGAGTGACCAAAAATTCATTAAAGGCTTTGTCTGAGGATGTGATTTACTTGACCTGAGAAAGTCCTAAATAACGGCCACTGTTCCTCCCAGCTGAAAGGCACCTTAGGTAACTGAGGCCACACAGGACTGTCAGAGGTCATAGCTTCTGCTGTGTAAGGGTCCTACAGGGAAACCCCAAGGAAGAACATACAGGGAAATCTGATTAACCTGTTGGGCATACATGAAGGGTTGGTATCCCAGGGCCCTAAGCCTCCAGAAATGTCTGGGTTTCACTGAAACACATAAGAGAGTAGAAGTGACTCATGGGTGACACCTCGAGGAGTAATCCCTGTTAAGCAGAATACCAGATCCAAAACATCTTTCCCAGCTGGGCACGGTGGCTCACGCCTGTAATGCCAGCATTTTGGGATGCCGAGGGGGAAGGAGCCCAACATGAGGAGTTTGATACTAGCCTGGCCATCGTGGTGAAACCCTGCCTCTACTAAAAATACAAAAATTAGCAAGGTATAGTGGTGGGCACCTGTAATCCCAGCTACTTGGGAGGCTGAGGCAGGAGAATCATTTCAACCTGGAAGGCGGAGGTTGCAGTGAGCTGAGATAGCGCAACTGTACTCCAGCCTGGGTGACAGAGAGAGACTTCATCTCAAAATAAACATATAAATAAAATTTAAAAATTAAAAAATAAGACATCTTTCTCTTTGAGTCTTTGGTCACTTAAAAAGAAAATCCAAATTATGGTCCATCTTCCATCTAAAACTGAGTCCTCTTTAAGAAAGAATCCATCTTTAGAAACTCCAGCTGGATTTATGTACAATACTTATGGCACCACCTCCTGTCAATATTTGGAAAAATGGTCTTACTTGACCCAAGAAAATCCTAACATTTGCAATGGACAAAATGTAGTACCTTTGAAATGCCTAAACTAATTTAATTGTGTGCTCAATGAGAAAAAGTCAGCTATAAGATAAAACAAAATAATTGGGAGAGTTATTTTCAATGAGGCTTGGAAGCTTCTAAAGAGGTTATAATAAAGTTATTTCTTTACAAGAGAACAAAAAGTTGTCTTAAAAAATTCTGAATTAAAGACTGCTGAAATTTATCCTCCTCCCTCAGCTCCTCTGTCTCTTTATTCTTTATTATCCTTTATTATCTTCTCCTTCTCTTTATCCTTTAGTACCTTGCCCAGATCTACCTCCTCCTCCTTCTGCTTCTACTGTTCCAGCTCCATTTCTCAAACAGCCAGTGTCTGGTAGGGGAGAACCTACCCTAGTTTCTCAATCATGGTCAAAGGTAAAACTTAAAGACATAGTTCAGGAATTTCCTGATTCTCACCAGGACCAGGACATTGGTTTTCTCAGGAAATTTAAATTAAATATTTGTGCTTATGACCCTGGCTCTACTTTGGGAAAAATAATTATTTTAAATGGAGTATGAACACAAGCTTTTGTTGACACTGGAGCCACATTATCTGTAATAAATCTCACCTTATTACAAGATTCATTCCTTGGAGTAAACAAAAAATTCAAATGGTGGGTGTCACAAATACTCCTGTATTGGTTTATAAATCTCAGCCTGTAGCTTTTCAGCTACGTCACTTACAAGGGACTTATGTTTTCCTTTTGGTTGAATCAGCTCCCATCCATCTTATAGAAAAAGACTTAAAATTATATAATACACTTCTTTCTCCCAAAAAGGGAAAATGTATTTAGAATTAGATGATAAAACTGAGTTACTGGACATAAAAAGTTTTTCAAAATCTAATTTAATTGCAATCTATATTGCCATAGTAGACACTGAATTATTGAGTAATGAAAATTACAAAACCTGCTAAAGGTAGTACCTGATCAATTGTGGTTAAAATCTTCTGCTGATATTGGAATAATCATCTTGGCTTCCCCAATCAAAGTTCAAATAGATCCATCAAAACACCTTCCAAACCTTAAGCAATACCCTCTATTTATTTATTTTTAAAGTATTTTAAATTCATCATATATGGATTGAGTGACTTTGTTAAGTTTAACAGATGTTTATGTAACTTAACTGTGAACTGTTCTTTTTTTGAGCCAGGGTGTCACTCTGTCACCCAGGCTAGAGTGCAGTGATGTGATCTGTGCTCACTGGAACCTCTGCCTCCTGGGCTCAAGCAATCCTGCCACTTCAGCTTCTTCAGTAGCTGGGACCCCAGGTGCACAACACCATGCCTAGTTAAATTTTTGTATTTTTTGTAGAGATGGGGTTTCGCCATGTTGCCCAGGCTGGTCTCAAACTCCTGAGCTCATGCAATCCACCTGCCTTGGCCTCCCAAAGTATTAGGATCACAGGCATGAGCCATCACATCTGGCCAGTACCCTTTAAAAGTAGAAGCTATAATAGGAATAAAACCTGTAGTTCCAGGCTATATAAAAAGAGGTACATGTAATACTCCAATCCTTCCTGTAAGGAAACTAAATGGTAGAGGATAGAAGTTTGTATAGGATCTGAGAACAATTAACAACATAGTCATTCCTCATTATCCAGGAGTGCTAAACCTCCATACATGTTGATGCCATTCTTACCAAAGGCACGTTCTTTACTGTAATAGATTTATGTAGTGTGTTCTTTAGTACTTCTGTGGATAAAGACAGTCAATTTGTTTTCATTTTCACTTGAGAAAACAGACAATACACATGGACATCCTGCTCCAGGGATACATTGAGATCCCAACACACTTTTCACAATATGTAGATGATTTACTCCTCTGCTCAGAGGCTAGGCAAAGCCTCTATAGATGATGGGCTGCACTTTTTACAACAATGAGCTTAAAGGGACACAGACCTCAAAAGAAAGATTTCAGTTTAGAGAAAAACAAATAAGATACTTAGGTCATTTAATATCAAAGGAAGGTCTTTTCATCCATCCAGGCAGTATAAAAAAATATTGGCTTTCCCTACCCCCATAACTTAAAAAACAACCAAAGGGATTTCTGGGTCAGAAGGATACTGTAGGAATTGAGTTCCAAACTTCTCCCTAAAAATTCAACCTTTATATACTCTTTAAAACAAGACAAGTCCGGCACCCTGGAGTGGACTGAGGAAAAATCAGTTAACATTGGAAGAGATCAAAAAGAGCATTATAACGATCAGGTGTGGTGACTCATGCCTGTAATCCCAACACTTTGGGAAACTGAGATGAGTGGATCACCTGAGGCCAAGAGTTCTCAACCTAGAAAACATGGTGAAACCTTGTCTTTCCAAAACATACAAAAATTAGCCAGGGGTGGTGGCACACATCTGTAGTCCCACCTACTTGGGAGGCTGAGGTGGGAGGATTGCTTGAGCCCAGGAGGTTGAGGCTGCAGTGAGCTGTGATTGCACCACTGCATTCTAGCCTGAGCAACAGAGCAAGACCCTGTCTCAAGAAAAAAAAAATCACAAAAAACAGCCTTATAGATACCCCAGCTCTAGGAAATTGAATTATAATATATCATTTTCACTATTTGTTCATGAAAATCAAAAAAACACTTTAGGTCATCTGACACAAAAACATGGAGACCAAAACAGACCCATAGGATACTACAGTCAGCAACTGGACCCTGTGGCTAAAGGACTGCCACCTTGCATAAGGGCAATGATGCCACTGCTCAGTTAGAAAGAACAACGGAATAAATGGTCATGGGAATTCTGCTCACTGTCTGTTCCATTCTCTGTGGAAACATCTTAAATTCACACCACTCCTAAAACATTGGGTTTGTGAAAAAAGAAAATCACACCACACTCATCATTATTCTGTTAGTACTAATACCAATAGACTGGCTTCTTATGAAGTTCTTCTTTCTGCACCTTATATTGCAATCTCTAGGAGCAACAGTCTGAATCCTACAACTCTCCTCCCTCACCTTCAGATGAAATGCCCCATGATTGCATAGCCTTAACTGATCAACTTTTTTCTCTCCTAGGATGGACCTGCAAAAGGCTCCCCTTACCAATACTGATGTTTGGTTTACATGTAATTCTTACTTACAGGATGAATCTAGGACTTATTATGCAGGTTATGTTATGGTATCTTTGAAGAAATAGAAAGTACTTACATTCCAGAAACCACCTTGACTTGACAAGCAAAATTAATTGCATTGATCAGGGCTTGCTAATTGGCAAAAGGAATAACTGCTAATATTCATACAGACAGTAGATATGCCTTTGGAGCAGCCCGTGATTTTGGAATGCTATGGAAACAGAGATAATTTTTAACATCTTCTGGTCAAAAAAACTGGATGCCTCATTCCACCATTGTTAGAGGCTATATTATTACCAAAATCACTGGCCATAATTACAAATCCAGGCCATTCCAAATCAGATACACCAGAAAGCCAAGGAAATCAGCTAGCTGATCAGGTGGCAAAAAGAGCTGCTCTAAATGCATCTAAACAGGAAAAGCAATCTATATTAACTTTTAAAGAAGCACCTGAATTTGACAGAAAATTAACTCAATCCAGAGCTCCAAAATCTGGGCAGGAAAATTGGAAGAGTAAAGGGGGAACATGCTCTCCCAAAGATGAAGTAAGGTACGGGCTGAGCTACGGGCCTATGCTTCCTGCTGATACAGTCATCATTCTTAACCCATGGACGTGACCTAACTCACTGGAGCCCTGCTTAATCAAAACAGTTGCTTCAAAACAATACATTTGGAAACCTTCTTTGACTATAGCTCGTAAGTACATGATTGTTGTCACATTTGTCCAACATGTAACCTGGGGAAGCCATTACACAGTTCCCAAGGAAATTTTCCTTTCCCTAAGGCCCTTTCCAGGTAGGGAAATTAGATTTCATTCGGTTGCCACCATCACAAGGATACAAACACATTCTGGTAATAATTTGCATGGAAATTCCTCACTGGGTAGAAGAATTTCCATGCTGAAAAACAGCAGCCTTAGAAGTGAATAAAATTATCTTAGAAAAAATTATTCCAGCCGGGTGTGATGGCTCATGCCTGTAATCCCAGCACTTTGGGAGGCTGAGGTGGGAGGATTGTTTGAGCCCAAGAGTTTGAGACAAGCCTGGGCAATATACTGAGACCTCATCTCTGCAAAAAATACAAAAATTAGACAGGCTTGGTGGTGTGTGCCTATAGTCCCAGCTACTCAGGAGGCTGAGGTGGGAAGATCGCTTCAACCCAGGAGTCAAAGGCTGCAGTGAGCTGAGATTGCACCACTGAACTCCAGCCTGGGTGACAGGGTGAGTCCTTGTCTCAGGAAAAAAAAAAAAAAAAAAGAAAGAAAGGAAGGAAGGAAGGAAAGAAAAAAATTTCTAGTCATTTCTGTTTGTGAAATGCACTAACAGAATGATCAAAACCTAACTGGCAAAATAAACAGAAGCTTTCAAAATTCCTTGGCCAAAAGCTCTTCCTCTGGTTCTGCTTAATCTAAGGTCAACACCTTTTGGTAAACACTAGTTATTATCTAAGGAATTACATAAGGAATTATCTCTAGGAAATTGTTTGTCTTTAATAATAAAGGGAGGCATATTTAGTCATTACAATGGCCTTATTATGTAATTAACTAAAAATTATGAATTGGAAAATGAATCTTTTCACAGTGAGCTCCAGGTAGACAATTTCAAGCATCACAGACTTCAACCAGGAGATTTCATCCATTGGAAATGACATTTTTAAAAGAACTCACTTAAACCAAAGTGGTATGGACCTTATCAGGTACTCCTTACTAACCCTTACACTGCAGAATTAGAAGATATAGACTCTTGGATTCACATGTGAAGAAGGCTGAGCCTCCTAAATGAACTGTTTCACTGGAAGGTGATACCCCCTGAGATGGTTAGGACAGTGTTCTTTGGGTTATGCCTGGGCACGAGCTCACATAGTTCATACCCTTTCAACCCCACAAACTGTCCTCATTTATAGTTTCATTGGATTTGTTCTGTATTCCATTGGTATGATCCTTTAGCTGCCATCTTTCTGCCCAACTGGGTATTGAAGGTGGCATTTGACATGTAGAGACCCTAGCCAATCATGCACAAAATGTCCTAAATAATAGCCACATGAATATTGTGATTAAATAAAGTTATTCTCATGAAAAAGCCTGTATTACAAAGCTATATAGCTTTAGACAAACTTATTGCAACCCAAGGGGAACCTGAGCTATCATAAAAACTAAATACTGTGTCTCTATCCCTGATAAATCAAACAATATCACTAAATTAATGGCTAATATGAAAACCCAAATAACAAACTTTTCAGATCCAAAATCTTCTCCAAGCAACTGGCTAACTAGCTGGTTTGGATCTTGGAAAACTTGGTGACAAAAACTGTTCCTTGTTCTGAGAATTATAATCATTTGTGTTTTGTACTGTTTTTGTCCACACTGCTGTAATAACATTTCTTTACAATTGAGTCAATGTGACTAGAAAGGCTAAAATAATGGCCACTTGAAAGATGATATTAACTGAAATACTCATGTAACCTGACTCAGGTCACAAAGTCACTTCCTTCATGTTGCTTTAAATTTGGCTAATACTCCATCAGCTTCATAGTTTGTCCATTCCTCCCTTCCCAGTGGCCTATGACATCCTAGGAATTAGACTTTCTAATGACATGGGACTAAATTCCTGAGCATAAAAGAAGCCAAACTATTGAGTTCATCTACAATGCTCTCTTCCAAAGTTCTTAGTGAAAAGAGGAGGGAGAAAACGTGAAAATAAATATAATTTAAAAGCTGTTGGGGCAGGAGTGCTGGCTCACGCCTGTAATCCCAGCATTTTGGGAGGCCAAGGTGGGTTGATCACTTGAGGCCAGGAGTTTGAGACCAGCCTGGCCAACATGGTGAAACCCCGTCTGTACCAAAATTACAAAAATTAGCCAGGCTTAGTGGCATGTGCCTGTGATCCCAGCTACCCTGGAGGCTGAGGCAGCAGAATAGCTTGAACCTGAGAGGTGGAGGTTGCAGTGAGCCAAGATCGCGCCACTGCACTCCAGCCTGGGCGACAGAGTGAGACTCTGTCTCAAAACAAAACAAAATGAAACAAAAATGTTGTTGGAACCCCAAAAACACTTTAAACCTTGAGAGAGATGTGGCTGTGATCTGAGTCATATATGTTTATAACTTCTCAGATTATAGATTAGCTTCTCAGATTATATAATAGATTAGTTTCTCAGATTATAGATTTCCTCAATTTCTTATTTTTCTGGTTCTGTATGATGACTAGAGAGAATTAAATGACATCAGGGACAAAAACCTGCCTTCTTAATTAATGACCCTGGTTATATAATTTCTTCTTCATTGTTCTGCTTTGCTTAGATGAGATGAGAGAAAACATGACTATTGCATCCTCTGTAAAAAATGCAAAATGTACCTTTCCCCGACAAAAAACACTGCCTACTACCAGGCAAAGTGCTGTAAGCATGAGTCAACCTTGTATGAAAAATGTAATCCTGCTAAAAACGCCTCTGTCTCTGTAAAGGAAAACTTAACTTCCCTACATTGGAATGCTGTCTCCATTCCTTTGGAGTTGGTGTTTCTGGGTGTTTCCTCAAACTTTATGATTCAATAAACTCTCTTTAAATTAGACTCTGGCTAAGCATGGTGGCTTATGCCTGTAATCCCAGTTCTTTGGAATGCTGAGGCAAGAGGATCACTCAAAGCCAGGAGTTTGGGATCAACCTGGGCAGCATAGTGTGACCTCGTCTCTACCCCCCCAAAAAAAAATTAGTTTTTTTTTGTTTGTTTTTGCTTTTGAGATGGGGTCTCACTCTGCAGTGGTGCAATCTCAACTCACTGCAGCCTCCACCTCCCAGGTTCAAGTGATTCTCCCACCTGAGCCTCCTGAGTAGCTGGGACTACAGGCATACAACACTCAGCTAATTTTTTGTATTTTTGGTAGAGACAGGGTTTTGCCATGTTGTCCAGGCTGGTCTCAAACTCCTGAACTCAGGTGGTCCACCTGCCTCGACCTCCCAAAGTGCCGGGATTAAAGGCATGTGCCATGGCGCTCAGCAAAAATACTAAATTCTGACCCTTTTGATTATTTTAGGTTGACACTAGTTCCACTTTCAACCCATTAGTATTTCTTCTGCTATTTATCTCAATGATTATAAATAAAAGGCTCACACAGTTGAATCTTATTAAGAAGACGTACAAAGAGACTTTTCCTGTTGTCAGCTAAAGCCCCAAAGTAGAAGCCAAGAGGCTTAGGGGCCCCTATATTCTGGAAAGAACATGGTGGAGTTGCTCAACAGCCCTCCAAGGCCACCTCAGAGGAGCCCAAACTTCCCTTGGCCCCCTTAGTTTGGTTTCTGAGATTTGGTGATATTGTGAAATATATATTCGGTCTTTGTCCCTGTTTCCTGGCACATAACTCCTAAAATCCTTGGAATCTCCTAAGTAATAAGTGTCATTTGTATGCAACTGAGTTGACTGGTGCCTGGCAGCCCCTACGTAGCTTCAGGATGGGGCTGGTCACCAGAAAGACCAAGGCAGGATTAGAGGATTGAGATTTTCAGCCCCACCACCAACCTCTGGGGAGGAGAGAGGGGCTGAAGGTTAAGTTGATCACCAATGTTCAGTGGTTTAATCAATCGTGGTTTCCAAAAAACCCAAAAGAACAGGGTTCAAATAGTTTCCGGAGAGCTGAACACGTGGCGGTTCCTGGAGGGTGGCGTCGGAGGGCATGGAAGCTCCGCAACCTTCCTTTCCCAAAAGCCTCAGCTTGTGCATCTCTTCATAGGTATCCCTTGTAATATCCCTCATAGTAAATGAGTAAATGTAAGCAAAGTGTTTCCTTGAATTCTGTGAGCTGTGCTAGCAAATTAATGGAATCCAAAGAAGGGGTATGGGAACCTGATTTAGCATGGGTTGGTCAGAAGCAGAGGTAAAATAGCCGGTGGCTTCCCATTGGCATCGGAAATGGGGGCTGTCTTGAGGACTGAGTCCTCAGACTGTGGGATCTGATGCCATCTCCAGTTGGGTAGTGTCGGAATTAAATTGGAGGTTCCAGCTGGTGTCTGCTGCGGAACTGATTGCTTGCTTATTGATGGGGAGAAACCTCCACACATTTTGGTCACAGAAGTCTTCTGTACTGATTTTTGTGATGTGAGCACAAAGGAAAAATAGTTTGTTGCTTCCATACAGACACAATATGAGGCCGTGTATTTTTTGGAATTTCCCCTTTTCCATAGGCTGTGAAAACAGAGATGGGGACCCCGTTTGGCCATAACGAACAGAATTGCTGGCTTAACGCAGCACCAGTCTTTGATAAGGATTTCTGGTTTTTGCTCTGTCTTCTAAAAATGGCTAACTAATCAACAGGCTGGGTTTTTATTATTTATATTGTAGCCCACTTAGTTACTGGGGGAAAGTGTGAGGATGTTTTCATTGACTGTGGTAATCCATGACCTGGAAGTGTCTCCAGAAACATAATTGTGCATCAAAATTGGACCTTTTTGAGGTTTATTTTCTCAAGATGCCTGCAGTGAGATTCGGGGTGTGGGTTGGTCAGGGATCTGGCCCCTGCTCTGAGGGTTGGAGTCTCCCACCCTCCCCAGCTCCCCTCTGCAGCGTGGTTCCTCCACTCGGCACAGCCACTGCCGCGCTCTGCAGCAGCTCAGACCACACTGAGTGGAAAAGCCCAAATTAGAGCAAAGGGGACCCCAAACAAAAATATTATTTGACTTTACAGAACCCGGAGCCCAAACACATAAAGGTTTTTTAAGTACAGCACCCTCCCCCGCAAATCCCAGGACTAATTAAAAAGCAAAATTGGAGCTTCCGACCCCTCTGCCCAGCAGCCCAGCCCTGAACTACAGTTTCCTTGGGTTCAGGTTTCTGAACTTTAGACTTGTTGCACAGAGGTGATATTTTCCCGTGAGAAAGAGTCCAGGCCTGGGGATCTCTGAGTATTTTGTTTTCAACCTCGTGGAAGAAAACTGAACTGCATTTCTCTCTGTCATGGATTTTCCTGCCCCTGCCTCTGGTTAGTGCCACAAGAGGCTGGGATCCAGGGGCCTGGGTGTGAGCCTTGGGCACCTCTGAGTCCATGAAAGGGCAGGGTTCCCTCCTCAGTCCGGTACCTGTTGATGACACAAAGATAGAGGTTTCCAGGAGTGGGAGTGGGGCTGGGCATCACGTGCCTGACTGCGGAGAGGCATGTGATCAGGTGGGGTGAAGAGACACTGAGTCCAGGCAAGAGCTTTCCCAAGTGGGCTCAGGAGCTCAGAAATTGAGTTCCTTAGCCCTCCTGGAACTGGGCATGGCTGGAAGTAGCTGAAGACCCTGGGCCTGTGCTCCCTGGCCCTCTGCAAAGCCTCATCAGCTTAGCCGTAGTGTGTTTTACATAGACTATCATGGTTTCTGTATGCCATGATGATAAAACTATTGGAAAGCTGGGCTTAGGTAACAGTGTTCCTGACATAGGAAGGCATCCTTCCAGGATGTCAGCTTTTTGACCTCTGTTCCTGCTGCACCTGCGGAATAAATCCATGCACCCCTGAGGCTGGCCCTGCAGGGGTGTGTGGGGGGATGGGGAATGGGTGGCAGGGTAAGCCTGTTTCTAAGGAGGGTTCTGGGGTATGAGAGACGGCGTTAAGCGCATCTTGGAGCCGCAGGCTGGGGGACTGGCCGCGGGCCAGCGCAGTGTGCGGCGGGCCCTGGGACGCACTCGGGCTCCAGGGCGCGGAACCAGGGGCGGGCTGACTTCAGCGATCCGCGCCTCCGCCCCTTGCCCGGGAGGCGGCGCTGGGGACCTGCAGCCCTCCAGCTGCCCCACGCCCCAACCAACGCGACCCTTTGGCCCGGGGCTGGCTGCTCAGACGCGGCGCAGGGGGACAGGGCAGACGCTGGACGTTTCCGAGGTCGCCCCGTGAGCTAGGACAGCCGAGCGCGAACCCAGGCAAACGGCTCCCTGTATCCTCCGCGCCCTCCAGTCTGAGAGCGGCCCTAGCGGGAGGCCTGGAACCGCTGCCTGGGCCTCACGGGAACCGAAGGGCGCTGCCGAGGGCCCCTCTGGCCAGAGCCCTGCATTTCTCTGACCCCAGCTATCCCGGGGCCTTGGAGTCTGCGGCCGCGGGCTAACGAGGAGGGCAGGTGCCTTAGAGAAGTGGTGGATCCCATTAAATAGGCTTTGCTGCCGGAACCACAGCAGTGGAAGCCCCCTGCAACCTCGCTGCGCCCATCCGGTCCCCTGTACTCTCCCACGAGTTCCAAAGCACCGTACTGTATCCAGGTTCTCAAAATAACCTTTCATCTAATGCAGTATGAACATAAGCACAAACAGTGTCTGTAACCTGAGAAGTTAATTGTAAATGTGATCTTCAGGGTTAAATACATGCAAACCCTGGAGAAATTTTAGGGAAAAAAAAAAAAAAAAAAAGAACAAGCAGAGGCCCGTGTCTTTCCAGACACAAATAAATAAGTACCATAAAATTATTGTAATAGTCTCTCCTCCTGCCGCCCAAGATGCCGAAAGGAAAGAAGGCCAAAGGGAAGAAGGTGGCTCCGGCCCCTGCTGTCGTGAAGAAGCAGGAGGCCAAGAAAGTGGTGAATCCCCCGTTTGAGAAAAGGCCTAAGAATTTTGTCATTGGACGGGACATCCAGCCCAAAAGAGACCTCACCCGCTTTGTGAAATGGCCCCGCTACATCAGGTTGCAGAGGCAGAGAGCCATCCTCTGTAAGCAGCTGAAAGTGCCTTCTGCGATTAACCAGTTCACCCAGGCCCTGGACCACCAAACATCTACTCACAAGTACAGACCAGAGACAAAGCAAGAGAAGAAGCAGAGGCTGTTGGCCCTGGCTGAGAAGAAAGCTGCTGGCAAAGGGGACGTCCCCACTAAGAAACCATCTGTCTTTCAAGCAGGAGTTAATACCGTCACCACCTTGGTGGAGAACAAGAAAGCCCAGCCGATGGTGATTGCACAAGACATGGATCCCATTGAGGTGGTTGTCTTCTTGCCTGCCCTGTGTCGTAAAATGGGGGTCCCTTACTCCATTATCAAGGGGAAGGCAAGACTGGGCCATCTAGTCCACAGGAAGACCTGCACCACTGTCGCCTTCACACAGGTTAACTCGGAAGGCAAAGGCGCTTTGGCTAAGCTGGTGGAAACTATCAGGACCAATTACAACGACAGATACGATGAGATCCGCCATCACTGGGGCGGCAATGTCCTGGGTCCCAAGTCTGTGGTTCGCATCGCCAAGCTCAAAAAGGCAAAGGCTAAAGAATTTGCCATTAAACTGGGTTAAATATACACTGTTGAGTTTTCTGTACATAAAAATAATTAAAATAATACAAATTTTCCTTCAAGAAAATTACTGTAATAAAACATTGTGAGACTAGCAGAAGGATAAATAAACAGATTAAGGGAACAGAACGAACAGACATCAGAAACAAATCAGCACATCTAGTCACCTAAATATGATAGAGCTACACTTTTAAACTGTGAATAAAGGATTGATTATTCAATAAATGTTAAACATTTAAAGAACTGATTTTGATCAGTAACTGAGGTTACCCCCAAGACTCTGCGGTGCTGGGGGTCTGGAGTGGTGTAGGTGGGAGTGGGGTGAGGTGTGGATACAACTCCAGCAGAAAGAGGCCAACAGGCTGGGATGAAGAATCAGGCCAGAATCAGGGCTTCCAGAGCAGCTGAAATTGAGGAGGTGGGGAGGAATTCCAGAAAGAAGAGACCAACAGAGGGAGAACCCCCAAATCTGTATATAACTCGTCTCGAATTCTTGGCTGACTCCTAAGCTGCACCAGTACAGGGCAAGACTCCAAGGAATCCAGAGGAAAGCAAGCACTGACAAGAGGTTTCAACAGCTGCCCAGTGCTAGAGAAACAGTGCAGAGCTCAGATCCCATCAAGTAATATTAACTTCTTGTTTGTCATACACAATCACAAATATTTTTTCCTGGCTTGTCATTTAAATTTTAACTCTGCTTATTGCATTTTTTCCCATAAACAAGATTTACAGTTTTATGCATACAAACTTGTCAATATTTTTCAGTGTGGCTTTGTTTTGCTGAAATGCTTGGGCAGTCTATGAAATTATGAAAATAGACTCTATAATTTCTTGATTGGTAGGTTTGGTTTTGTTTATATTATTGTTTTTGTTATTTTGTTATGGCTGATTTTTTAAAACTATTAAATCTTTGCTCTAAGTTAATATCCGAGATTTTGGCGAAAGTGATATCTCTTATAAAAATAGATCAGAATCAGCTCTTTAAGTGTTTAACAACATTTATTGAATGATCAATTCACATTAGATGATCTTGGGAGGTGGACGTGGGGGTAAGGAACATGGTTATCAAAGGAGGCAAAGTTTCAGTTAGACAGGTGGAAGCAGTTCAAGAGATCTATTTACAATGTGGAGACTATAGTTAGTCACAAAGTACAGTATTATATTCTTGAAAATCACTAAGAGAATAGATTCTAGGTGTTCTCACCAAAAAAAGATGATAAGTATATGAGGTAATATAAAAGTTTATTAGCTCAATTTAGCCATTTTACAATGTATACATATTTCTTTTATTTTCTTTCATCTCCTACAGAAAGGATCTGTACATATTCCAAATATCATGTTATACATGATAAATACATATAATTTTTGTCAATTTTTAATATTTATTTATTTTGAGACAGTGTCTTGCTCTGTTACCCAGGCTAGAGTGCAGAGGTGTGATCATAGCTCACTGCAACCTCCACCTCCCAGGCTCAAGTGATCCTCCTGCCTCAGCCTCACAAGTAGCTGGGACTATAAGTGTGTACTACCACGCCCAGCTAATTTTTTTTTTTTTTTTGAGACAGAGTCTTGCTCTGTTGCCCAGGCTGGAGTGCAGTGGCATGATCTCGGCTCACTGCAACCTTTGCCTCCCGGGTTCAAGCGATTTTTCTGCCTCAGTCTCCCAAGCAGCTGGAACTACAGGTGTGCCCCACCATGCCCAGCTAATTTTTGTATTTTTAGTAGAAACAGTGTTTCACTATATATGGGCCAGGCTGGTCTTGAACTCCTGACCTCATGATCCATCCGCCTCGGCCTCCCAAAATGCTGGGATTACAGGCGTGAGCCACCACACCTGGCCACGCCCAGCTAATTTTTATATATTTTTTTGTAGAGATGAGGTTTCATCATGTTGCCCAGGCTGGTCTCGAACTCCTGGCTCCAAGCAATCCACCCACCTCAGCTTCCCAAAGGGCTGGGATTATAGGCATGAGCCACTGTGCCTGGCAAAAAAACTTAATTACTTTTTAAAAAGGAAAAACTTGGTAAACACTTTGGCTTTCCATTAAAACCCCAGAAAGGACACACCTAAGAGTAACGGCTACTTCCAGGACTAAGGACTATGCCTGAGTACTAAAGGCAAAATTGAAATAGACCTGCCCTGAAAAGTCTAAAATCAAGTTTCCGCAGGATCAAAATGATGTGCTTGTGATTAAACTTCCTCCAAGAACAAAAAAAATTCTCAAGCGGAAGATGGAAGAATTCAAAGTCTCTAAAATGTATCAACCACATATTTAGAAGGCAATAAAAACTTGCCAGCAATGATAAAAAGCAGAAAAATGTGACCTACAATATAGAGGGAGATTGTCACTAGAAGCAGACCAACAAATGACACAAGTGTTGAAATTGGCCCACAAGAATTTTAAAGTATTATAAATATATTAAAGAATGTATGGGAAAAGATAAATATAAAAAAGAAGAAGACAGGAATTTCAGGAGAGATATGGAAACTAAGGAGAGATATGGAAACTAAAAAAAGGAACCACATCCTAAAATAAACATATACAATATCTGAAATCAAAAATGTATTGAAAGAGCTTAAAAGTAGATTAGACCTGCAGAAGAAAGAATGAACTTGAAGGCAGTCAACAAAAATTATCTAAACTGAAGAACAAAGAATAGAGATCAAGAAAATTGAACAGAGGCCGGGCACGGTGGCTCACACCTGTAATCCCAGCACTTTGGGAGGCTGAGGCGGGTGGATCACCTGAGGTCAGGAGTTTGAGACCAGCCTGGCTAACATGGTGAAACCCCATCTCTACTAAAAATACAACAATTAGCTGGGCGTGGTGGCACACACCTATAATCCCAGCTACTCAGGAAGCTGAGGCAGGAGAATTGTTTGAGCCCAGGAGATGGAGGTTGCAGTGAGCCGAGATCACGCCACTGCACTCCACTCCAGCCTGGCCAATAGATCGAGACTCTGCCAAAAAAATAAGAAAAGAAAATTGAACAGAATCTCAATGACTTGTGGGACACTGTAAAACCATCTAATATACCTATAATCAGAGCCCCAGAAGGAAAGGATTAGACAAGGAGGTAGGGGGAGAAAATTATTTGAATAATTCCAACATGAAATTATTCATTATTTGAAGGAAAAGAATGAGAGAGGGTAAGTGGGAGTATCCTGTCTTAAGATTCTAACATTATAATTGAAATGGTATAATACTAATACAAAGTAGACTTGATATGCCAGTCACAGTGGCTCACACCCGTAATCCCAGCACTTTGGGAGGTCTAGTCAGACAGATCACTTGAGGCCAGGAGTTCAAGACAAACCTGGCTAACATGGGGAAACCCCACCTCTACTTAAAATACAAAAATTAGCTGGGTGTGGTGGTGTACAACTGTAGTCCCAGCTACTCGGGAGGCTGAGGCACGAGAATCACTTGAACCCAGGAGGTGGAGGTTGCAGTGAGCCCTGATCGCACATACCATTGCGCTCCAGCCTGGGCAACAGAGTGAGGCTCTGTCTCAAAAGAGGAAAGAAAGAAAAAAAAGAAAAAGTAGACATGATAAATTAAGTTTGCATATTGTAATCTTCAGAGAAACTACTACAAACATAGTAGAAAGAGCTGTAGATAAAATACCAATAAAGGAGATGAAATGTGGTACTAAAAAAATAATGCCCTTTTGACCCAAAAGAAACCAAGAGAGACAATACAAAGAACAAATAGCACAAATAAACCAATAGCAAGATTGTATTCTTAAACCCAACCACATAAAAATTACATTAAGTGAAAAACAAATTAAATAAAAGGAATAAATTGGGAAACTGTATAAAAGAGCAAAACATTACTGTTATTTACAGAAGATATGAGTTGAAAACAAAATGGATAAGCTCTACCCTAAAACCACTAATTATTAAAAAAAAAACTGGCATGCCTATACTATTAATATTATCAAAGACATCTTAAGGTAAGGATATTACCATAGATAAAGAGGGACATTTCATAATGATAAAAGGGTTAATTAATCAAGATAACATGAGAATCCTAAATGTGTATATACATAATAACAAAGCTTCATGTTCTATGAAAAAAAAATTTTTTTAATTAAAATTAAAAAATTGGATTTGGCTGTTCTATGAAAAAAATTAAAAAAAATTTTAAGCTTCAAAACACACTGAGAAAAAAAGGACAGAAATAAAAGAGTAAATAAATAAATCCTCAGAGCTGGAGATTTTTGACTCCCAACAATGAGGCACTTTCAAGAATATGAAAGCAGCGCGGGTTAAAGAGTTGGGACTAGTTATTCAACGTACCTCAGAGGAAGTGAGAAGTACAATTTCCAGCTTCAGTTATAAGGGGTGAGATGAGGCTAAGTAAAGAAGATCTGTGCAAGGTTGGAGGCCAGCATATCAGAATCAGTGAACAATTTGGTATGAGGTGAGACAGGACAGGTGGCCCAGGATGAATGCTGGCCTCAGCAAGGGTATGGGAACCACCTTTATGGAATGCCAGGTGGGAGAGTTGCAAAAACCAGAGGTCCCTGAGAAGCATCCTTTGCCCATAGAAATGGGTAGTTCCTGGTAGTTCCACAAGTGCATGCTGGATAGAACTGCTTACTCTGTGTAGGGAGATAATCTAGGTGTGGAAGGAAAAGTCCAGTTACCTCCTCACTTTGGTTTTTCCAAACCATTCTCTGTGGGACCCTGCTTCAGAAGTGTGGGAAATGCCAGATACCATTTCCATCTCTCAGAGAGTTACAACACACAATGGCATAAAGGCTATTGGATGCCTGTTGGAAATATATCTGCTTTTTTTTTTCTTTTCTGTTTATGTGTGTATGAGGTAATATAAATGTTAATTAGCTTAATTCAGCCATTCCACAATATATAGGTATTTCTTTTTTAAAATCTCCTATGGAAAGAATGTATACTTATTCCAAATATCATGTTACACCTGATAAATATATATAATTTTTTGTCGATTTTCTGTCACCAATTACAGAAGTAGCACATAGATAATGGTAGAACCAGGATGCTGGACACGTGACCTCAGTTTGATCAATCAGATTTTTTTTTTCTGAATCTTTGAAAATTGAGCTAATATTGCAAGAACACTAGGATAAGTCAGAAGCCTTTCAGCACATGGCCAGGTGCAGTGGCTCATGCCTATAATCCCAGCTCTTGGGGAAGCTGAGGTGAGTGGATCACCTGAGGTAAGGAGTTCAAGACCAGCCTGGCCAACATAGTGAAACCCTGTCTGTACTGAAAATATAAAAGTTAGCCAGGCGTGGTGGTGCGTGCCTGTAATCTTAGCTACTCCAGAGACTGAGGCACAAGAATCACTTCAACTGCTTAAACCCGGGAGGCGGAAGTTGCAATGAGCCAAGATCGCGCCGCGGCACTCCAGCCTAGGGGACAGAGTGAGACTCTGTCTCAAAAAAAAAAAAAAAAAAAAAAAAGAAGCCTTTCAGCATAGCCAGTGTAGCTGATGAGCAGAGGACATTTGCTACATTTCCTCTTTCCTTCTTCTTTATCCTCTATAGCTCTTTTGGTCACTTCTATTTACAAGCCCATCTGTTTGGAAAGCATATTCAAAATAGATTATTCCTCTAATTCATAAATATACTTTGCTTCAGTTATTCAGAATTGGCTGGGGTTTTTGTTTGTTTGTTTATTTTGTATCCCAGAATCTCAAATGACATAGAAAGTGGTAAAAAAGAATGGACTGAGGGCTAAAACCCCAAGGGAAGAGAAGGTGTTTGGCAATCATGACGCCATGAAAATAGGACAGTGAAATTCTCATTCATATTCCAGAGTGGGAATCTAGTAGCCTTTTCCATCTAGTTACAAAAGAGTTAAGTTCCCTGATGTACCTTTGGAGCAGCGAAAAAATTAAAAGTAAATAAAAAAGAGTTAAGTTCTTGCTTCTAGTCAAATAAAATTAAGTGTCCAATTGAGGCCAAGATTCTAGGAGAACAAATACCATCTTCCATAGATTATTATGAGGGGTGTGAGGAATTCAAACCACCCAGCATAGGGTCACTTCTTCCAAATGTATAACTTAGAACATAATGACAAAATCAGTTCCCTAAATTCTTATCTGAAAGCATGGAGCTTAACTGAAGACTATTGTTTGATCCTGATGAATGATCTTTTAAATTGTGATAAAATATACATGGCATAAAATGTATCGTTTTAACCATTTTTAAGTATACAATTTTGTGGCATTAAGTATATTAACATTGTTTGGGAGGCCGAGGTGGGTGGATCACGAGGTCAGGAGATCGAGACCATCCTGGCTAACACGGTGAAAGCCCATCTCTACTAAAAATACAAAAAATCAGCCGGGCGTGGTCGTGAGCGCCTGTAGTCCCAGCTACTCGGGAGGCTGAGGCAGGAGAATGACGTCAACCCTGGAGGCGCAGCTTGTAGTGAGCCGAGATCGCGCCACTGCACTCCAGCCTGGGCGACAGGGCCAGACTCTGTCTCAAAAACAAACAAACAAAAAAAATTGTTGTGCAACTATCACCACTAACCATCTCTAGAATTTTTAAAAATTGAAATTCTGCACCCATTAAACAATAACTCCCTATTCTCCCTTCACAACAGCCACTGGTAACCGCTATTCTACTTTCTGAATCTATGACTTTGCCTATTCTAGGTACCTCATATAAGTGAAATGATAAAATATTGGCCTTTTGTCTTCAGTGCTTTTCCATAGGTTTTCTATTTCTTGTATTATTTGTCTCTGCTTGACTATTATTTCCTTCCTTCTGACAGCTTTGGGTTTAATTTGTGCTTTTTCTAGTCCCTTAAGGTGTAAAGTTAGGTTGTTGATTTGAGGTCTTTCTCCTTTTTTAAGTAATCATTTATAGCTATAAATTTCCCTCTTAGGAGTGCTCCTGTAAGTTTTGTCATGCTGCTTTTTTTTTTCTTTCTTTTTGAAACAGATTATTACCTGTCACCCAGGCTGGAGTGCAGTGGCACGATCTTGGCTTACTACAACCTCTGTCTCCCAGGCTCAAGCCATCCTCCCACCAATTCATGCCAAGTAGCTGGGACCGCAGCCATGCACCACCACGCCTGGCTAATTTTTTGTGTTTTTGGTAGAGACGGGGTTTCACCATATTGCCCAGGCGGGTTTCAAACTCCTGAACTCAAGCGATCTGCCTGCCTTGACCTCCCAAAGTGCTGGGATTACAGGCCTGAGCCACCACACCCAGCCTGGCATGCTGCATTTTTGTTTTCATTTGTCTCAAGATATTTTGTATTTTCCTTTGTGATTTCTTTTTTGACCCGTTGGTTATGTAAGAGTATGTTGTTTAATATCCATGTTTTTGTGATTTTTCCAGCTTTTCTTCTGTTATTGATTTCTAGTTTAATTCTATTGTGATAAAAAAGATACTTTAATAGATTTCCATCTATTAAAATTTATTGACTAGTTTTGTGACCTATAATGTGGTCTCTCTTACAGAATGCTCCATGTGCTCTTGAGAAAAATGTTATATTCTCTTATACATGTCTGTTAGGTTCAGTTGGTTTATAGTGTTTGTTTTAGTCTATTTAGACTGTTACAACAAAACATAATAAACTGGGTGGCTTATGAACAATGCAAACTTATTTCTCACAGTTCTGGAGGCTTGGAAGTCCAAGATGAAGGCATCAGTAAATTTGGCGTCTGGTGAGGGCCTGCTTCCTTGTAGACAGCTATCTTTTCACTGTTACCTCATGTGGTTGGAGGACTGAGGGATCTGTCTGGGGTCTCTTTTGTAAGGGCACTGTTCTCATTCATGAGGAATCTGCTGTCATAACCTAACCTTCCAAAGTCCCCACCTCCTAATACCATTATGTTTGGGGTTGGATTTCAAGATATGAATATTGGGGGAACATAAACATTCTGTCCATTGCAGTATTTCTCAAGTCTTCTATTTCCTTATTGATCTTTGATCTGGTTGTGGTATTCATCATTGAAAGTGGAATATTTAAGTGTCCAGTTATTTTTATTTTTATTTTTTTGAGATGGAGTTTCGCTGTTGTTGCCCAGGCTGGAGTGCAATGGTGTGATCTCAGCTCACTGCAAACTCTGCCTCCTGGGTTCAAGTGATTCTCCTGCCTCAGCCTCCCGAATAGCTGGGATTACAGGCATGTGCCACCACGCCCAGCTATTTTTGTATTTAATATAGATGGGGTTTCTCCATGTTGGTCAAGCTGGTCTCAAACTCCTGATCTCAGGTGATCTGCCCGCCTCAGCCTCCCAAAGTGCTGGGATTACAGGCATGAGCCATTGCACCTGGCCAAGTGTCTAATTATTATTGTAGAACTGTCTGTTTCTCCCCTCAATTCTGTCAGTGTTTGCTTCATATATTTTGGAGATGTGATGTTTGGTTCATATGTTTATAATTGTTATATCTTATTGCTGTTTTAACCATTTTATCAATATATAATGTCTTCCTTTGTCTCTAGTAACCATTTTTAATTTGAAGTCTATTTTGTCTGATTTTATTATAGCCACCCCAGTCAATCTTTTAGTTACTATTTGCATGGAATACATTTTTCTATCCTGTCATTTTCTATCTGTTTGTGTCCTTAGCTCTAAAATGAGTCTCTTATTGACAGCATACAGTTGAATCATGTTTTTTTTTTAGTCCATTCCGCCGTTCTATTCCTTTTGACTGGGGATTTTAACCCATTTATGTTTAAAGTAATCACTGATAAGGAAAGATTTGCTTTTGCTGCTTTATTATTTGTTTTCGTATGTCTTATAGCTTTGTTGGCTCTTACTTGCTCCTTTACTCTCATCTGCTGTGTTTAGTTACATTTTTTCAGTGCCACATTTTGATTCCTTTCTCATTTCCTTTTGTATTTATTCTATCAATATTTATTTTATTTTATTTTAAGTTCTGGGGTACATGTGCAGGATGTGCAGGTTTGTTACATAGGTAAACATGTGCCATGGTGGTTTGCTACACCTATCAACCCATCACCTAGGTATTAAGCCCAGAATGCATTAGCTATTTTTCCTCATGCTCTCTCCCCCAATGCCCCACCCCCACAACAGTCCCCAGGGGTCCCTGTGTCCATGTGTTCTCATTGTTCAGCTCCCACTTATAAGTGAGGACATGTAGTGTTTGGCCTTCTGTTCCTGCATTAGTTATATCAATATTTTTTGATAGAACAATTTTTGATTACCTTGGGGATTACATATAACATCCTAAAGTTATAGCAATCTAATTTAAATTGATGCAAACTTAATTTCAATACCATACAAACACTCCTATAAAGCTCTTCTTTCCCCTACTTTATGGTATTAATGTCAAAATTACATCTTTATACATTGTGTACTAATTAATATAGATTTGTAATTTTTATGTATTTGTCTTTTAAATCCTGTGGAAGATAAAAAGTGATTTACAAACCAAAATTACAATAATACTGATTTCTATATTTGCCCATGCATTTACTAGAGATCTTTATATTTTTGTATGACTGAAAATTACTGTCTAGTGACTTTTCATTTCAACATGAAAGATTCTATGAACTAAAAAGACAAATTATCTGCTCCTTACAAATCCAATACACAATGATGGAACAGAGAGAGGTTACCACAAAGACATTCCATCAAAAGGGAATGAATGAAGATACAGAATGAACATTGGTCCATGGCAAGATACTGTGAGGTCCTGCTGCCCTGTGTGTAGAAAATATTCCTTGAATTAGACACTTATTCTTATCTTTAGGAGGGGTTCCCAATTCATTATTCTCTATACCTTTTGACTAGCTTCTGGGAAAGGGTGCCTCCCTTTCTATTATCCTGTTTGGCATTTTCAGGAGTGGGCATTGGAGACTGCACTCTTTGGAAGCTGAGCAGTGTTCTGAGCTTGTTTCTTGTCTATAGAAGGCTGGAGGGGTTTTTTTGGTCCAGGCTCAGTGGCTCATGCTTGTAACCTAGCACTTTCAGAGGCCGAGGTGGGTTGATCACCTGAGGTTGGGAGTTCAAGACCAGCCTGGCTAACATGGCAAAACTCCATCTCTACTAAAAATACAAAAATTAGCCAGGTGTGGTGGCACACGCCTGTAATCCTAGCTACTCAGGAGGCTGAGGCAGGAGAATCACTTGAACCTGGGAGGTGGAGGTTGCAGCGAGCCAAGATTACGCCACTGCACTCCAGCCTGGGTGACAGAGCGAGACTCTATCTCAAAAAAAAAAAAAAGAATGCTGGAGGTTTTTAAGGAACATTTAATGTCATATCCAGGTTCTTTATTTATGTGGCACTATCTAATTCTAATCAGCTTCATTTGCAACAGCATATTAATAGTTTTTTGTTTTGTTTTGTTTTGTTTTTGAGACAGAATCTCACTTTGTCACCAGGCTGGAGTACAATGACATGATCTTGGCTCACTGCAACCTCTGCCTCCTGGGTTCAAGTGATTCTCATGCCTCAGCCTCCCAAGTAGCTGGGATTACAGGTGTGCACCACCATGTTCAACTAATTTTTTGTATTTTCGGTACAGACAGGATTTCACCATGTTGGCCTGGCTGGTCTTGAACTCCTGACCTCAAGTGATCCTTCCGCCTCAGCCTCCCAAAGTGCTGGGATTACAGTCATGAGCCACTGCTCCTGGCACATAGTTCTTTTCTTTTCCTTTTTTTTTTTTTCTTTTTTTTTCTTTTTTTTTTTTTTTTTTGAGACAGGGTCTCACTCTGTCACCTAGGCTGGAGTGCAGTGGCACAAGTTAGTTCACTGTAACCTCTGTTTCCTGGGCTCAAGAAATCCTCCCACCTCAGCCTAAGTAGCTGGGAATATAGGCACATGCCACTATGCCTGGCTAATTTTTGTATTATTATTATTATTTTTTGGTAGAAACAGGGTTTCACCATGTTGCCCAGGCTGGTCTCGAACTCCTGAGCTCAAGCAATCTGCCTGCCTTAGCCTCCCAAAGTGTTGAGATTACAGGCATGAGCCACCAAGCCTGGCCCACCATTCTTTTCTTGACACAGCTCCACCTATCTGTCTATTTCGTACCAGGAAAAAGGAGCCCATCATGCTTGGTGAGTAATATGGTTTGGATTTGTGTCCCTGCCAAAATCTCATGTCAAATTGGAGGAGGGGCCTGGTAGGAGGTGATTGGATAATGGAGGCAGATTTCTCCCTTTCTATTCTCATGATAGTGAATGGGTTCTCATGAGACCTGATCCTGATACCAAAGCCAGGCAGAGACACAATCAAAAAAGAGAATTTTAGACCAATATCCTTGATGAACATCGATGCAAAAATCCTCAATAAAATACTGGCAAACCGAATCCAGCAGCACATCAAAAAGCTTATTCACCATGATCAAGTGGGCTTCATCCCTGGGATGCAAGGCTGGTTCAACATATGAAAATCAATAAATGTAATCCAGCATATAAACAGAACCAAAGACAAAAACCACATGATTATCTCAATAGATGCAGAAAAGGCCTTTGACAAAATTCAACAACACTTCATGCTAAAAACTCTCAATAAATTAGGTATTGATGGGATGTATCTCAAAATAATAAGAGCTATCTATGACAAACCCACAGCCAATATCATACTGAATGGGCAAAAACTGGAAGCATTCCCTTTGAAAACGGGCACAAGACAGGGATGCCCTCTCTCACCACTCCTATTCAACGTAGTGTTGGAAGTTCTCGCCAGGGCAATCAGGCAAGAGAAGGAAATAAAGGGTATTCAATTAGGAAAAGAGGAAGTCAAATTGTCCCTGTTTGCAGACGACATGATTGTATATCTAGAAAACCCCATTGTCTCAGCCCAAAATCTCCTTAAGCTGATAAGCAACTTCAGCAAAGTCTCAGGATATGAAATCAATGTGCAAAAATCACAAGCATTCTTATACACCAATAACAGGCAAACAGAGAGCCAAATCATGAGTGAACTCCCATTCACAATTGCTTCAAAGAGAATGAAATACCAGGAATTCAACTTACAAGCGATGTGAAGGACCTCTTCAAGGAGAACTATAAACCACTGCTCAATGAAATAAAAGAGGATACAAACAAATGGAAGAACATTCCATGCTCATGGGTAGGAAGAATCAACATCGGGAAAATGGCCATACTGCCCAAGGTAATTTATAGATTCAATGCCATCCCCATCAAGCTACCAATGATTTTCTTCACAGAATTGGAAAAAACTACTTTAAAGTTCATATGGAACCAAAAAAGAGCCCGCATCGCCAAGTCAATGCTAAGCCAAAAGAACAAAGCTGGAGGCATCATGCTACCTGACTTCAAACTATACTACAAGGCCACAGTAACCAAAACAGCATGGTACTGGTACCAAAACAGAAATATAGACCAATGGAACAGAACAGAGCCCTCAGAAATTATGCCGTGTATCTACAACTATCTGATCTTTGACAAACCTGAGAAAAACAAGCAATGGGGAAAGGATTCCCTATTTAATAAATGGTGCTGGGAAAACTGGCTAGCCATATGTAGAAAGCTGAAACTGGATCCCTTCCTTACACCTTATACAAAAATTAATTCGAGATGGATTAAAGACTTAAATGTTAGACCTAAAACTATAAAAACCCTAGAAGAAAACCTAGGCAATACCATTCAGGACATAGGCATGGGCAAGGACTTCATGTCTAAAACACCAAAAGCAATGGCAACAAAAGCCAAAATTGACAAATGGGATGTAATTAAACTAAATAGCTTCTGCACAGCAAAAGAAACTACCATCAGAGTGAACAGGCAAGCTACAGAATGGGAGAAAATTTTTGCAATCTACTCATCTGACAAAGGGATAATATCCAGAATCTACAATGAACTCCAACAAATTTACAAGAAAAAAACAAACAACCCCATCAAAAAGTGGGTGAAGGATATGAACAGACACTTCTCAAAAGAAGACATTTATGCAGCCAAAAAACACATGAAAAAATGCTCATCATCACTGGCCATCAGAGAAATGCAAATCAAAACCACAATGAGATACCATCTCACACCAGTTAGAATGGCAATCATTAAAAAGTCAGGAAACAACAGGTGCTGGAGAGGATGTGGAGAAATAGGAACACTTTTACACTGTTGCTGGGACTGTAAACTAGCTCAACCATTGTGGAAGTCAGTGTGGCAATTCCTCAGGGATCTAGAACTAAAAATACCATTTGACCCAGCCATCCCATTACTGGGTATATACCCAGAGGATTATAAATCATGCTGCTATAAAGACACATGCACACGTATGTTTATAGTGGCACTATTCACAATAGCAAAGACTTGGAACCAACCTAAATGTCCAACAACGATAGACTGGATTAAGAAAATGTGGCACATATACACCATGGAATACTATGCAGCCATAAAAAATGATGAATTCATCCTTTGTAGGGACATGGATGAAACTGGAAACCATCATTCTCAGCAAACTATTGCAAGGACAAAAAACCAAACACCACATGTTCTCACTCATAGGTGGGAATTGAACAATGAGAACACATGGACACAGGAAGGGGAACATCACACACTGGGGACTGTTGTGAGGTGGGGGGAGGGGGAGGGATAGCATTAGGAGATACACCTAATGCTAAATGACGAGTTAATGGGTGCAGCACACCAACATGGCACATGTATACATATGTTACAAACCTGCACGTTGTGCACATGTACCCTAAAACTTAAAGTATAATAATAATAAAATAAAATAAAATAAAATAAAATAAGATAAAATAAAAAAGTATATGGCACTTCCCCCTTCACTCTCTCTCTCTCCCCTGCTCTGCCATGAGAAGAAGGTGCTTACTTCCTTTTCACCTTCTGCCATGATTGTAAGTTTCCTGAGGCCTCCCAGTCATGCTTCCTACTAAGCCTGCAGAACTGTGAGTCAATTAAACCTCTTTACTTTATAAATTTCCCAGCCTCAGGTAGTTCTTTATAGCAGTGTGAGAATGGACTAATACAGTGAGAGAGTGTTATTGGCTGGATTATATCTTCCTGAATTTCACATGTTGAAGTTCTAACTCCCAATACTTCTGAATGTGACTGTATTTGGAGATGGGGTCTTTAAAGAGATAATTAAGTTCAAATCAGGTAAATGGGGTGGACCCTAGTCCAGTATGACCAGTGTCCTTATAAAAATATATTAGGACAAGGCCGGGAGTGGTGGCTCATGCCTGTAATCCCAGCACTTTGGGAGGCCAAGGCATGGTGAAGTCAGGAGTTCAAGACAAGCCTGGCCAACATGGTGAGAACCCATCTCTAATAAAAATACAAAAATTGGCTGGATGTGGTGGCATGTGCCTGTAATTTCAGCTACTTGGGAGGCTGAAGCAGGAGAATTGCTTGAATCCAGGAGCCGGAGGCTGCAGTGAGCCAAGATGGCACCATTGCACTCCAGCCTGGGCGACAGAGTGAGACTCCATCTCAAAAAAAAAAAAAAAAAAAAAAAAAAAAAAAGGACATAGACACACATGAAGGAGAGACAATAAGAAGACAAAAGAAGAAGATGGCCATCTAGAAGCAAGGGAGAGAGGCCTCATAATGAAACCAACCCTGCCAACGCCTTGATCTTGCACTTCTAGTCTCCAGAAGTGTGAGAAAACAAATTTCTGTTGTTTAAATCACCCAGTTTCTGGTACTTTATTATGACAACCCTGGCGAACTAATACAGAGGGCAGCACTTTTGTTCTTTTCTTCCTGAACCATTACATCCAGTTGAGAGGATTTACTGGGTGACAACTAAATCTATTCAGAGATTTTAATGATGGATGTGACAGAAATAATCTTGGTTGGATCCTTGCCTGAAATATGAGTTCTAATAGTCTTTTTTGTTGTTTAAACTTCCTCTAAATTCTATAGTTTATTAATTGGAAATAAAACACATTGGCTAACACGATGAAATCCCGTCTCTACTAAAAATACAAAAAATTAGCCAGGCCTGGTGGCGGGTGCCTGTAGTCCCAGCTACTTGGGAGGCTGAGGCAGGAGAATGGCGTGAACCCAGGAGGCGGAGTTTGCAGTCAGCCAAGATCACGCCGCTGCACTCCAGCCTGGGCGACAGAGCGAGACTCCATCTCAAAAAAAAAAAAAGAAAAAAAAAATCGACTCCCAATCCTGCAAATTCCTGAGTTTCTATACTCTCTTTTCCCTTCCATTCCTGCCCTACAAATTAATTCATTGTTTTCTTGGTACATCTCTTCCTTAAATTAGCATGTCATATGCAGCCAACATTAATATTTTGTTTTCTAGTCTCTTCTCCTGGAGCTACAAGCATGCAAGGTTTATTATCTACCTTTCAAGTTATTGTGGGTGATGGTTTTGTCAAATGTACCAATGGAAAACCAGTTCCAAAATTAGTTTCCTTGCCCCATCACCTGATCCCTAAGCCAATGCCACAAAACCCGGTTTTTGTAAAGATCCTTCATCTCTAGGCATCAATTTTTGTATCAATCAAGATATGCTAGGCTATGTCAAAATCATAATGACATAGAATAACATAACATAGAATAACATAATAACAAGAAAGATTTATTTCTTATTCGTGCTGGATGTTTATTTGTTGCTGGGGCCTCTTCACTTTCCATCTTTTCATGCTAGGAACTAGGCTGATGGAGCAGTCATAATCTTGAACATTGCCCAACTCAAAAACGAAAAGACAGAGAGCTCCAGAGGGTGATAAATTGGTAATTAGATGCTCTGGCCCTGAAGTGACGCACATCATCTGTTTACAACTGATTGGCCAGGACTAGCCATGTGGTCCCACCCAACCACAACAGAACCAGGAAGTGCAACTAACCATGTGCCCCAAAGGTGGAGCATGGGAAATATTTGGTCAACAGCATTACTCCAATTGCATATGAACCATATAATCAAATGTACCTAGGTCTGGTAACTTGAGGCCCAGCTTCACGAGAGTTGCAGCCCCTCACCCATTCCATTTCCAGACTTAAGAGGCCCCTGGCGAGCTTTAATAGGACAAGTACATAGTGTGCACCTTTCTGCTAGTCTTCCACAAAAGAATCTGTGATGATTTTGGCAGGTAACTGTGCCAAGTGAAGAGTAATCCCCAAAATTTTCTGTTACAATTGACCGTGGCTCTGTGATAAAAGCAATTCCTTGATACACAGACCACCAGGTTGGTTCACCAATCAGGGTTCTCACAGTATCAGGTGATAAATGAAACTAATCAGAGTCAACAACAGCCCCAAGGCATAGGGCAGCAGCAATCATTCAGGGTCATTTCTCCAGTTTTTGGATGTGTAGATGGAGCAGATGGCCTCACTGCCATGGAATTGCTCCCTGACTTAGAGGATAAGTCTATTGCAGTAGGAAAAGCCAAGCAGAAGCCACTGGAACACCCCTCCTGGCTAAGGGAGGAAATGAAAAGGAAGTTAACTCTCTGACTCTTGAGGCTTGAGGTTGTTGGAGTTGTATTTGTCTCATCTTTTTGAATTTTCATGTCAACAATTGCTCCCACGTAGCATGAAGGGTGTGTGCAGCTAGGGGAAGTGAGTTGGTGGGAAGCCAGCAGAGACTCAGATAAAAGCAGGTAAACCGGATGGTACCAGGGGATGGCCAATAACCAGGGACCAAATCCAGGGGATCTTCACAGAGTTCTTTATGTGAGGCATGTGAGAGACCTGATCAAGGGCAGTGACAGGAGGAGTGACTTCACAAAGTCAAAGACATAACGTAGCAGGACGAGGGGAGGCGGGGCCGTCTCAGGGCATGAGTCTGTCTTATAACTGGAACAGCACCTTATGTAACCCCAGGCAAGACTGCTCCTTATGCAAAGCTCAGTTTTTCCAACTTTAGTTCATCACAAGTATACAAAACTTCTGAGTCATAGAAAAAGTAGTTATGTTGGCTGGGCGCAGTGGCTCAGCCTGTAATCCCAGCACTTTGGGAGGCCCAGGTGGGTGGATCACCTGAGGTCAGGAGTTCGAGAACAGCCTGGTCAACATGGTATAGAGACAAGCCAACCCCATCTCTACAAAAATGCAAAATTTAGCTGGGCGTGGTGGTGCCCTCCTGTAGTTCCAGCTACTCGGGGGGGCTGAGGCAGGAGAATTGCTTGAACCTGGGCGGCAAAGGTTTCAGTCAGCCGAGATTGCACACTGCAATCCAGCCTGAGAGACAGAGCGAGACTCTGTCACAAAAAAAAAAAAAAGAAAAGAAAAAATAGTTATATTTATGTATATCTAGTTTATTTAGTTACTCACACTTTAAATTGCATATCATAGAAAGTAATATTTCCATTTATACATGCTGCATTTGCCCATTCTACATTTTCTGAAACAATTTTATTTCTAAAACTTCTACATGGATCAGGGACCTCAGGGTCTTTATCACCCCTGGAGCCTCATGTTGAGTCATCCAACAGGTTTCTTGAAAACCTCCTTTCTTGAGACCAACAAGACCAAAAAGCCTTGAGGAGTTCAATTCCCTACTTACTATCATAAAGGTCTCAAGGAAATGAGTTTTCAGATGATGCACTTAACGTAGGTGGAAATGGTTGCCTGCGTGACCACTCACCGGAGGTGTGAGGCTGGCCTGACACCAAGGGAACACCCAAAGCAGTGTTCACTAAAGGGTGAGAAAAGCTAAGGACCCTGACATTTGCAACATGGTCACAACGGATTACTCATGGACAAAGGATTTACAGGGGTTATGTTAAAAAAAAAAAAAAAGAGGGAAACTTTGAGAAAAGTTTTAAGAGTCATAGCAACAGGCTGGGCGCAGTGGCTCACACTTGTAATCCCAGCACTTTGGAAGGCTGAGGCGGGCAGATGACCTGACGTCAGGAGTTCGAGACCAGCCTAGCCAACATGGTGAAACCCCGTCTCCACAAAAATCCAAAAAAATTAGCCAGGCATGGTGGCACATGCCTGTAGTCCTAGCTACTTGGGAGGCTGAGGCAGGAGAATCACTTGAACTTGGGAGGTGGAAGTTGCAATGAGCCGAGATCATGCCATTGTACTCCAGCCTGGGCAACAGAGAGAGACGCTGTCTCAAAAAAAAAAAAAAAATTACGATGTCTAGAATTTCCTTTAAACAGCCCAGTGCAAGAATTGAAGAGAAGACAGGGAGTAAGCGCGTGTATGTGTTGGAATAGGGAGACAAGTGACTAGGGGAAACAAGATTGGCCACAGCTGATGATTAGTCAAGCTAGGTCATGAGTACCTGGGGGAGGATTATGCCATTTTCTCTAATTTTAAGTATGACATCCTCCACAGTGAAAAATAAAACAAAATAAAATATTTGCAAAAGTTTGGTTTTTAAACTTAGGTAATTGTAGTATGAGAAGCATTATAAAAACCAGATAACAATTTCTTCTTCACTGAAAGATTCTTTGAATTCTTTGAAAACCAGTAACTCTCAATATTGGTGTCTGTGTTAGTGATGTTACCGGGGGATCCTTGCTCCCAGAGCTCCCAACATGGTGGCAAGCCTCGTGTTCTCTGACCTGGGGTTCTTGGCCTCAGGGATTCCAAGGAATGGAATCTTGGGCCATGTGGTGAGTGTTATAGCTCTATTAGAAGCCATGGGTCATGGAAGAGAACTGTGGAACCCAGTGACTAGTGTTCAGCTTGATTAGGATGAACCTGGGCACTTAGCCGTGCAGGAACAATGGCAAGCCTTTAGCCAGATTGGGAGCAGTAATGGACGCCTTGCTGGATCAGAAGCACAGCGGACACCCTGCCGGAACCGGAGGGATGGAAGTCAGCGTCAGGCCTGCAAAGGCGGCAAACAGCCGTGGTGGACGGTGAGCTAAAAAGCTCAGCTCCGGCCATAACAAACACGGACCAGAAGAGAGTGCAGTTGCAAGATTTAATAGAGTGAAAACAGCTCCCATACAAAGGGAGGGGACCCAAAGAGGGTAGCCGTTGCTGGCTTGAATGCCTGGGTTTATATCCAGATCATTGTCCCTCCCACTGTGCTCTCAGACAGTAGATGATTGGCTATTTCTTTACCTCCTGTTTTTGCCTAATTAGCTTTTTAGTGCGCTCTCTTTACCACCTGAATGGTGTGAGCTAAGTTGCAAGCCCTGTGTTTAAAGGTGGATGCAGTCACCTTCCCAGCTAGGCTTAGGGATTCTTAGTTGGCCTAGAAAATCCAGCTAGTCCTGTCTCTCAATAATTTGACCAAAGGCACACACCCCCTAAAGGTAGAGTTGGGATCTGGTCTTGCATAGCTTTATTCCCAAGCTCTCTCACTTGACAATTATGTGATACTGCGTCACAGCCAACCACTCCAGAACCTCAAACTGGTTTGTTGCACAACCCTCTCACCTGTCTTGATCTGGATTAGGACTTGCACTTGGTCAGTTGATCAGGCAGCAGTGAGCACCTATCCTGGAGAGTGGCCTACAAGCTTTGAGTATGCAATGTGCCATGGACATTGTCAATATGTTTTAAAGACAGACAAGAGAGCTGGGCACAGTGGCTCATGCCTGTAATCCCAGCACTTTGAAAGGCTGAAGCAGGTGGATCACATGAGCACAGGAGTTCAAGACCAGCCTGGGCAACATAGTGAGACCCCACCTCTACAAAAAATTTAAAAATTGGCTGGCCAGGCATGGTGGCTCACACCTGTAATCCCACACTTTGGGAGGTCAAGGTAGGTGGATCACCTGAGGGCAGGGGATAGAGACCAGCCAAACATGGCAAAACCCCGTCTCTACTAAAAAATACAAAAATTAGCCAGGTGTGGTGGCTTGCACCTATAATCCCAGCTACTCAGGAGGCTGAGGCAGGAGAATTGCTTGAACCCAAGAGGCAGAGGTTGCAGTAAACTGAGATCATACTACTACACTCCAGCCAGGGTGACAGAGCAAGTTTCCATCTCAAAAAAAAAAAAAAAATAGCTGGGCGTGGTGGCACATGCCTGTAGTCCCAGCTACTTGGAAGGCTGAGGTGGGAGGATTTCTTGAGCCCAGGAGGTCGAGGCTGCAGTGAGTTATGATCGCACCACTCCACTTCAGCCTGGGCAGCAGAGTAAGACTTTCTCAAAAGAAAAGTTAGAAAAAAAAAGGAAGGAAAGGAGAACATGTGTCAATCTGGAAAGTCAGTTAAGTGGAGCTTGGTTAAGAGAGCTGCTATTGTATTTTTGAGGAAACAATGTATTAGTCAGCTTTGCTGTGATAACAAACAGCACCCCCCACCACCTAATCTCATGGCTTACTATAATATACATTTATTTCTCATTCACATTGCATGTTGGTGTCTGCAAATCAGTGGTGGTGGCTCTGCTTCATGTATCATCTCATTCCAGGGCTAGCCTGAAGGAGCAGCCTCTTTTTAGGACATGTCATTCTTGTGGCAAAGGGAAACAAACAGGATAGAGCTGAAACATCTAATAGCTCTTAAAGGTTTGGCTCATCTGTGGTGGATATTACTCCTGTTCACATCCCATTGGCCAAAGCAGGTCAAAGAACTATACTCTGACTTTGGAAAGCCACTGCAGATCACATGTATAATCCTCTTACAGGAAAGGAAGCAGATGGTTGGAATCAATAATCCAATCACCTGCATATTCCAAGATGTTAACTATTGCTGCAGTAGAGTATATGAATATTGCTGTTATTTTTCCATTCTCATATTTCTCATTTTTACAGTATTTATGACATTTTTATAACTCAACATCTATCCTATTAGGGTAAATTATAATGTCTGGAAGAGCTCACCTTGCCCATTATCTGGCCTTTGTTGGAGGAATTTGCTGACTATGAAAATCATACCATTCACCTTGTACCAATCAATCTGTCCACTTGACTTCCTTTTGAACAGTCTAGATTGTTTCAATTACTAATTACTACATTGTGACTGAAAATTGAGCACTTATAAGCATTAGTGAAAATATATGTATGAAAGAGGCTGACATATATTAGATATTCAAAAAGACTTCTTTAATCTAAATTATGGGCTATTTACATTGATAAATTTTCCAACACAACATAATAAAAACATCTGGTTTCACTTGTAGCATTTTATTTTGTAGTTCACTTTCCATTACAAAAGTGATAAATGTTCATTTTAGAAAATTATAAGTATATAATTTTCAAAATTACAAAAATATTAAAAAGCAAAAGGCAGTAGATAAAAGCACTAGTTATCTCACAACCCTGAGATAACCACTTTTAGCATTTTAGTCAATATATTTTCAGTGATATTTCCAGCATATGTAACTATATTAAAAGGGTTCATATTATGATTGACTAGTTTCAATTCTCATTATGGTATGACTTCTCTATGCCATTAGATATTATCCTATAGTATTAATGGCTGTGCAATATCTTATCCTATGAGAGAAGCCTATTTTATTTTAACTAGTCTTCTGTTAATTACCAGTTTTGTTAAAAATTCCTTTATAAATGAATAATTTCAAACATCTATAATTAATTATTTCCATAGGCAGCTTTCTGGGATCAGAAATTCTGGAGCAAATTATTATGTACAGTTTTAAGGGCCACAGTATTGAATTACAAGAAAAAAACTCAAAATCAGTCTACTTTGTATTATTATATACGATTGCAGATCATCTGTGGTATTTGTCCTCCTGCATTCATCAGTCCCCTAAAGAGATACCAAGGTATTCTTCAATGTTAGAGCAAGTAGAGAACTTTCACATACAGAAATAGTTAACTAGATAATTTGGAACTACCCTCCCACCAAACACAACTGAAATAATCCATATGGAATATAAAAAGCTTCTGGCCAGGTGTGGAGGCTCATGCCTATAACCCCAGCACGTTGGGAGGCTGAGGCAGGTGGATCACTTGAGGCCAGGAGTTCTAGACCAGCTTGACCAACATGGCAAAACCCTGTCTCTACTAAAAATACAAAAAATAGCCAGGCATGGTGGCATATGCCTGTAGCCTCAGCTACTCGGTAGGCTGAGGCATGAGAATTGCTTGAACCCAGGAGGTGGAAACTGCAGTGAGCCGAGATTGTGCCACTGCACTCCAGCCCAGGCAACAGAGTAAGACTCTGTCTCAAAACAAACCAGAAACAAACAAAAAGCTTCTTTCTAAAACAAAGAAAAGCTAACAAGTTGCAAGAAATTGTCAAGGGTCAATATCCCTTGGTAGAAATCCAGAGAGAAGAGCTCAGCATTTGGGCCACTTTTGTCAATCAGAAAAGGTAGTTAAAACACTGAGGAGGCTCGGCCTTTCCAAGGGAAGGGTAACTCTGGAAAACCACCCCATACTTTAGAAGTGGAATTTTGATTGACTAAACCCTGAAAGTAAAAGTAAACAAAAAGTAAACTAGCCTTCCCCTTTACTGTAGCTCAGTTTCAAGAAATCTGGGTGATTCAGAAAAATCTCAAGCACTAAAATGGATTACAATGGTCCTGGATTGCTAATGTCCCCACACATTTGCAAAAGTAAATGAAAATCATTTCTAAAGGAAGATGATATCATCCTAGTACTAAAATTGCTCCAATAAATTTTTCAAGTACAGTTTCTAACACACAATCAAAGATAACCAGGCATAACAAGAAATAAAATAAGAACAAAAGTAAGCAGGAACAATAGAAAACAGAAAGAGGCTCACAGATACTCCAGATAGTGGAATTATTAGACAGAGATGAGGGGGAAAAAACTATCTTACTATCATCATAGGGTTAAAAACTGAACTCAAAAATTTCAGCAAAATATTGGAAACTATAAAAACAGACATTGAAGATTCAGGAACTAAAAAACATAATAACACAAATTAAAAACTCAATGGATGAGTCTAAAAACAGAGTAAATAAATAAGACAAGTTAGAAGAATTCATCCAGAATGGAGCACAGAGAGATAAATGGATGACAAATGGAAGAGAAGATCAGAGACATAGAGGGCACAGTAAGAAAGACCAATATACATTTAATTGGAATTCCAGAAGAAAGAAGAAATAGGGCAAAAGCAATACTTGAATAATGAATGAGACTTCCAGAACTGATGATTCAAGGACATGATGCAGAAATGGTGATGAAAGATATCAGTCCACAGATTCAAGAAGCCCCCAAAATCACACACAGTACTTAATTTATTTATTTACTTAGAGGCAGAGTCTCACTCTGTCACCCAAGCTGGAGTGCAGTGGTGTGATCATAGCTCACTACAGCCTTGAACCCCCAGGCTCAAGTGATTCTGTCACCTCAGCTTCCTGAGTAGTTGGGGATACAGACATGAGCCACCATGCTCTGCTAATTTTCTTTCTTTTTTTTTTTTTTTTGTAGAGACAGGGTCTCGCTAAGTTGCCTAGGCTGGTCTTGAACTCCTGGCCTCAAGCAATCCTTCCATTCAGTCTCCCAAAGTGTTGGGATTGCAGGGGTGAGCCACTACATCCAGCCATACACAGCATTAACATAAATCACACCCAGATGCTTCATTGTAAAACTGCAGAAAACCAAAAATAAAGAGAAAATTTTAAAAACAAGCAGAACAGAAAAAAGTAGATTATCTTCAGAGGAACAGACAGACTGACAACTGATTTCTTATTAGCAACTACAAAATCCAGAAGACAGTGAAATTATGTTTAATGTGATAAAAGAAAATAATTAACAACTTAGAATTTTATATTTAGTAAAATATCCTTCAAAAATGAAATTTTTTGGCTGGGCACACTGGCTCACACCTGTAATCCCAGAACTTTGAGAGGCTGAGGTGGGCAGATCACTTTAGGTCAGGAGTGTGAGACCAGCCTGGTCAACATGGTGAAACCCCATCTCTACTAAAAATACAAAAATTATCTGGGTGTGGTGGTGGGCACCTCTAATCCCAGCTACTCAGGAGGCTGAGGCAGGAGAATTGCTTGAACCCAAGAGGCAGAGGTTGCAGTGAGCCAAGATTGTGCCACTGCACTCCAGCCTGGGTAACAGAGGGTGATTGTCTCAAAAAAAATATTATTTTTATTTTTGAGATAGGGTTTCACTCTCCCACCCAAACTCATGCCACTCATTGCAGTGGCATGATCACGGCTCACCACAGTCTTAACTTCCTGGGCTCAGGTGATCCTCCTACCTCAGCCTCCTGAGTAGCTGGAACTACAGTCACCTGCCATCATGCCCGGCTAATTTTTGTATTTTTTGTAGAAACAGGGTTTCACCATGTTTCCCAGGCTGTTCGCAAACTCCTGGGCTCAAGCGATCCACCTGCCTCAGCCTCCCAAAATGCTAGGATTACAGGCATGAACCACCATGCCCAGCCAAGAATGAAGTTTAAATAAACACATTTTTAGGGAAACAAAAACAAAATAATTTGCTTTCAGAAGACCACACTGAAGGAAAAACTAAACAGGTCTCATCTCTTCAGATAGAGGGAAATGATTCTAGAAGAAAGATTGGAGATTCAGGAAGAAAAGAAAACCAATGAAATGGTAGTTATTTGGATAAGTCTAATGAATATTGGCTGTGTAAGACAACAATTATAATATCTTGTAGGGTTTTGCCGGGCGCGGTGGCTCATGCCTGTAATCCCAGCACTTTGGGAGGCTGAGGCGGGTGGATCACAAGGTCAGGAGATCGAGATCATCTTGGCTAACACGGTGAAACCCCGTCTCTACTAAAAATACAAAAAATTAGCCAGGCGTGGTGGCGAGTACCTGTAGTCCCAGCTACTCGGGAGGCTGAGGCAGGAGAATGGTGTGAACCCGGGAGGCGGAGCTTGCAGTGAGCCGAGATCAAGCCACTGCACTCCATTCAGCCTGGGCGACAGAGTGAGACTGCGTCTCAAAAAAAAAAAAAAAAAAATCTTGTAGGGTTTTAAAGAAATGTAGAATTAAAATCTATCACATAGCACAAAAATTGTATATGTGGTAAATGGGGTTAAAATAGTCTAAGGTCCTTGCATTCCTGGGAAGAGGTAAAATTCTAATTAATATTAGTATTTAATAAGTCAGAGATACATGCCATAATATCTAAGATAAACATGAATGTCTTAATTTAAAATTAATTAACTCATGCAAAAAGAACACAAGAAAATACTTTTTAAAAGGAGTGCTAAGAAGACAGTACAAATAGAAATCATATAGTTTGATGGTAGAGTTGAACCCAAATACACAAATAATTACATTAAATGTAAATGGACTACATGTTTTAGTTAAAATTCAAAGATTGTCAGACTGAATGAAAAAGCAAAACCCAAATATATTCTGTTTACATGAAACACATCTAAAACATAAGGATATAACAAGTTTGAAAGTAAAAGAATAGAAAAAGGTATACCACACTAATACTGATCAAAATAAAACTGGTATAGTTATATGTAGAAAATTGTGTTTTTCCAAAAATGCAAAAGTAATATTTCTGGTTCTACATGTTCTTCCAGAACTTTTACACTCCTTCATTAAGAGTCTATTTCACCTTCTCCTGAATTTAGACAGGCCTTTGTGACTGCCTTGATGAACAGAATATAGTGAAAGTGGTACTGCATGACTTTAGAAGGTAGGTCATAAAACACAATAGAGCTTCTGCTTGATTCTTTCTCTAAGAATGCAGACCCAGCCAGGCGCTGTGGCTCAAGCCTGTAATCCCAGCACTTTGGGAGGCTGAGGTGGGCGGATCACGAGGTCAGGAGATCGAGACCATCCTGGCTAACACGGTGAAACCCCGTCTCTCCTAAAAATACAAAAAATTAGCCGGACGTGGTGGTGGGCGCCTGTGGTCCCAGCTACTTGGGAGGCTGAGGCAGGAGAATGGCGTGAACCCAGGAGGCGGAGCTTGCAGTGAGCCCAGACCATGCCACTGCACTCCAGCCTGGGCTACAGAGCAAGACTCCGTCTCAAAAAAAAAAAAAGAATGCAGACCCTGGGAACCAAGAAGTGGCCATATGTAGGTATTCAGGCCAACAACCAGCTAGGATTCCAGCCCACAACCAGACACAACCACCAGACATACGAGTAAATAAATCTTCAGATGATTCCAGTCCTCAGTCTTTGAGCCAACCCAGCTAACACTAAATGGAGCAGAGATGAAACTATCCCTACTGAGTCTTGCCCAAATTATAGATTTATAAGCAAAACTATGTCATTATTGTTTTAAGCTGCTAGTTTTAGGGTGATTTGTTGTATAACAATAGATAAAATAGTATGTTAATATCATAAAAAAAAACTTTAATGCAAAAAAAAGTTTCAGTGATAAGCATAGAAAATTTAAATCACCAAAAGGATATAACAATTCTAAACTTACATGTACCTAATAAACAAAGCCTTGAAATATATAAAGCACAAATTGAGAGAACTATAATAAGAAATACACAAATCCACAAACATAGTGGAAGATTTTAACACACACCTCCGAATGGACAGAATTATCAGAAAAAAAAATCAGTAAAGATATATAAGATTTGAATAACACAATTAACTTGGTAAAACATGTATATATAAAGGATTGCACCTAACAATTGCAAAATTCACATTCTTTTCAAGGACACAAAGAATTTTTACAAAAATTGACCATATGCTGGGCCATAAAACAAGTCTCAATAGATTTCAAAGGCTTGAAGTAACCACAGAGTATGGTCTCTGATCACAAAATAATTAAATGCTCAATAACAAAAATATAAGTAGAAAATTTGCATGTGTTTGGAATTCCAAATAATTAAGCAATGCTTTAAACAACATAGAACAATATTATTCTCTTACTTTGAGTTCCCATAAGACCAAGACCTGAGAAAAGTTGTACGCAGTTTACTTAGGAAATTATGTCAGGAAGCAGAAATGTAGGCGAGGGAAAGAGAGAAAACAAAGGCAAGAAAGCTAATTAAGGGCAAGGTGATGAGCTGGTGTGGCAACTGAGCTCATTCCCACTGGGGATCCCTGAAGTACTTTTTTTTTTTTTTGGTGGAGTCTTACACTGTCACCCAGGCTGGAGGGCGGTGGTGCCATCTTGGCTCACTGCCATCTCTGCCTCCCAGGTTCAAGTAATTCTCCTGCCTCAGTCTCCCAAGTAGCTGGGACTACAGGTGCGCGTTGCCACACCCAGCTAATTTTTGTATTTTTAGTAGAGACGGGGTTTCACCTTGTTGGCCAGGCTGGTCTCAAACTCCCGACCTCAAGTGATCCGCCCACCTTGGCCTTCCAAAGTGCTGGGATTACAGGCATGAGCCACTGCACCCGATCCCCTGAAGTCCTTCTACAATGAGCCCACCAAAGGATGGGGAGGTTAGAGAATTATCCACTGACTGTAAGCCCTGAGGTAAAAAAGCAGAGAGACCTCAGTGCCTAAATGGGATTCTGGTAACTTGAATGGAACGGTCTAAAAGTTGCATGGGTTGCGCTAAAAGTAAAAACATCACAACTACCTGACACAGTTCTTTGGCCTTTGTGACCAATACTCTGGCTGAAAATGTTCTGTTTGCCTTCGACATTCAATCCACTCTGTGCCTTGGAAAGTGGATAGATAAGAACACAGTTGTTCTGTAAGATGCCAGTTAGCAAATATTTGAGGCTTTGTGGGAATATGGTTTCTGTTGCAACTACTCAACCCTACTGTTGTAGCCTGAAAGCAGCTATAGAAATATTAACAAATGGGCTGGGCGTGGCTGCATTCCAATAAAATTTTAGTTATGAACACAGAAATTTAAATTTCCTGTAATTTTATGTTATGAAATATTATTCTTCTTTTGATTAAGAAGACTTAATTTTTCCAGTGATCTAGTGGAATTATAAAAAAAAAAGACTTTATTTTTTAGAGCAGTTTTAGGTTCACAGCAAAATTTAGTGGAAAGTGCAGAGTTCCCATATACCCACCCACAACAGTCTTCCCTCAAATCAACATCTCCCACCACATTGGTACATTTGTTACAATTAATGAATCTACAGTGACACATTGTTATTACCCAGAGTCTGTAATTTATATCAGGGTTCACTCTTGGTGTTATTCATTCTACGAGTTTGGACAAATGTATAATGACATGTATCCATCATTTTAGTATCATGCAGAATAGTTTTGCTGCCCTAAAAATCCGTTGTGCTCCACCTATTCATCTTTTCTTCCCCTCTATCCCCTGGCAATTACTAATTCTTTTACTGCCTCCATAGTTTTGCCTTTACATTAATATCATATTGTTGGGATCACACAATGTATAACCTTTTCAGATTAGCTTCTTTCACCTAGCAATATGCATTTAAAGTTCCTCCGTGTCTTCTCATGGCTTGATAGCTCATTTCTTTTTAGTGCTGAATAATATTCCATTGTTCGGATGTACTACAGTTTATTTATCCATTCATCCACTGAAAGACATCTTGTTTGCTTCCAAGTTTTGCTGATTATGAATAAAGCTGCCATAAACATGAATATGCAGGTTTTTGTGTGGACATAGTCTTCAGCTCCTTTGGGTTAGGAGCATGACTGCTGAGTTGTATGGTAAGAGTGTGTTTTTGTCAACCATTCAAAAATGTAAAAAGCATTTCTCAGCTCAAAGGTCATGTAAATACAGGTGGCAAGCTGAATTTGGATTCCTGGCTATAGTTTTGCTGACATGTGGACTACAGCAAAGTTTCTTTGCTTCCTGTTGGAGGCACAGGCAAGAGAGCAGAGGGCAGGAGGGGAGTGAGGCTGGAGTACTTACCCTCCTAACTCAGTCCAGGCCAGGGCACCATGGTTGCTTCATCCCCTCCTGAGGAGGCCCTCTTCTATATCTTCCCTATCCAGATTCCTCCAGCCCCTGCTCTTTCAGGCCTAGGGGTGCCAACAGCTTCCTCCTCTTACTAGCCCCAGGAGACTGCACCATTTTGCTGTTTTCCCTTGAAGCTGCCCGTACAATTGTAAATGATCCCATTCAGTAAACTCTCCTCAATTTCCCTGTTTTAGTGTGTCATCTGTTTCCTGCTGCACACTGACTGATCCACTCCCCTGTCCTCCCAGGGTTTCTCGCCCTGGCCTCTGCGTAACTCCACCAGCTCAGAAAACTTTTTTGAGCTTTACTTTCTAAGTTATGTTACAAAATCAAAGGTTTGGGTAACATGATTTTTCAGTTACTTGTGGCCCCTCCAAGATCACGGTACCTTCCATCAGAGATGGCTTTCCTCCTTGTCTAAGTTAGTACTATGGTTTGAATGTCCCCTCCAAAACTCACGTGGAAACTTAATCCCCAGTGTGGCAGTATTGGGAGGTGGGGCATTTAAGAAGTGATTGGATCATAGATTAATCCCTTCATGGATTAATAGGCTAATGAATTAATGGGTTTTCATGGGAGTAGAACTGGTGGCTTTATTAGAAAAGGAAGAGAGTCCGGGTGCAGTGGCTCACGCCTGTAATCCCGGCACTTTGGGAGGCCAAGGCAGGTGGATCACCTGAGGTCAGGAGCTCGAGATCATCTTGGCCAACATGGTAAATCCCGTATCTACTAAAAATACAAAATTAGCCAGTCATGGTGGTGCATGCCTGTAGCCCCAGCTACTTGGGAGGCTAAGGCAGGAGAATCACCTGAACCATGGGAGGCAGAGGTTGCAGTGAGCCAAGATCGCACCATTGCACTCCAGCCTGGGTGATAAGAGCAAAACTCCATCTCAAAAAAAAAAAGAGGAAGAAGAAGAAGAAGGAGGAGGAGGAAAGAAGAAAGAAAGAAAGAGAGAGAGAGAGAAAGAAAGAGAGAGAGAGAAAGAAAGAGAGAGAGAGAAAGAAAGAAAGAAAGAAAAGAAAAAAGAAAAGAGAAAAGGAAGAGAGACCTGAACTAGCACATTAGCACGTTCAGCCCCTTGCCATGTGAAACCCTGCACTGCCTTAGAATATTATTCAGCACTAAAAAGAAATGAGCTATCAAACCATGAGAAGACACAGAGGAACCTGAAATGCATATTGCTAAATGCATGCAGCCCTTGGACTTTTCAGCTTCCATAACTATAAGAAATACTTGTATTTTCTTCATAAATTACCTATTTTCAGGTATTCTGTTTAAGCAACAGAAAACAGACTAAGATAATCAGCATCTCCCACACCTGTTGCAGTGTTTCCCACCAGTTCCTAGCAGTTCAGGGAAGCCACACCCAGAATTGCACACACCAGAGTAACTCGCCCTCTTCCACTGTCTCCTAGGCATAACTGTGGTGGTTACCCCTTTGTCCCTCCACCAGAAGCCAGGTCTAAGATGTCTGTGCAACCTGACCTAACCCAGCAAGAGAAGTGCCTTTCCTGCAATACAGGAGCTGACACTCCCCCTCTTCCCAGGGCTAATACACCCATTCTCTACTCTCAAGGCCAATCACACCTTTTCCACTCTGGAATACAGCTCTTATCCCAGGAGATTCACATGGTAATCAAAAGTTCTCCCAGGTCTAAGAAAGGAGGCCAACTACTGGGAATGCCAAGATGGACATGACATGATGCCTGTGCTCCCACGCTCATGGCAGAAGACAGACAATGACTCAGAACAATGGATTCATGGCTTCAATTCAGGCAAAAGAAGTGACACATTTCTATCAGGGGAAGGAAGATGCATTTGAGCTGAGCCTTGAGCTAGGATAAGTTTACAAGTCATGTAAAACAATGCAACCAGGGCTGTGCTTTTGGCTCCCGATGTCCAATATTCAGGCAAGAACAGCAGGAGCAGCATCCTCTAGCCCAACAATGGTTTGCCGGATGAAATAGAGTGCCCAGAAATTTGCAGAAGGAACCCAGGGCCTCAGAGCAGCCAGACTTCAAAGTCTGGTGTCTGCCCTTAGTCGAGGACCCTGGCCCTGCTTTTGCAGGACTTTTCCTTAGTTCAGGTAAAGACAGGGTCCTTGTCCCATGCCCATGAAAAGTTAGGCTTGCAGGTGATTTGAAGGGTGAGAATAATGGGATTTATTAGGCAAAAAGGTACAAAAGGGGAACAGGGACTCTCCGCCAGGCCAGAGTCCCTGCTGGTGCACTTCCTGCCTCGCAGTTTGAATCTCAAGTTCCACACAGAAAGAGGAGGGACCAGGCTCCTCCCCGCTGCAAATGGCACAAATTTCTGTGGCTCCACCCCAGTGTATACTCCTCCCAATGTGCAGGTCGGGGAGAGGCTCTGCCAGGGAGCCCTTCCTGCCTGCCTGTCTCACTGACACCTTTCACAGGCCTTCACAGAGGGAAGTGGGAGAAAGACCTCTGCTTGAATTTCTCTGGGAAACTGGGAAATGAGCAGGCAGGGTCTGGCACCTCTGTAGAAGAGAGCCATGGAGGGCCTGTGGTGGCCTGTCCTGGGTGTCAGAATATGGCAAACAGAACCAGTGGCCTGGACTCTACTCCCGGGACAATCATAAACTTGTGTGAAACCTTGTCCAAGACACTTTACTTGGTGTTGCATCTGTACGATGGATCCTCCATGGAGAGATCTACCTATGAGTTCCTTTTAAGGTTCAACATCCTTGAAATTTCTCCCGATGGTCCATGAGCAAATAAAATCATTTTGTGGAAAAGCTATATATCCAACAAATGTGATTGTAATTCCTGAGGAGTAACTAAATAATACATTAAATAGTATATCGGTAGCTTGCTTATTTCAGCCACCTGTCTGTGCTAGATGACTTTCATTTGCCCTCCAGACCCACTCTACAGATTGCATTCATGTGCTCTGTCAGAAGCATTTAAACCAGAGCAACTCCATCTTCAGTAGGGAGTGGGTAAAATAAGGCTGAAACCTACTGGGTTGCATTCCCAGACGGTTAAGGCATTCTAAGTTACAGGATGAGATAGGAGGTTGGCACAAGATACAGGTCATAAAGAACTTGCTGATAAAACAGGTTGCAGTAAAGAAGCCAGCTAAATCCTACCAAAACCAGATGGCCATGAGAGCGACCTCTGGTCGTCCTCACTGCTACGCTCCCACCAGTGCCATGACAGTTACAGATGCCATGGCAACGTCAGGAAGTTACCCTATATGGTCTAAAAACAAAAGGCATAAATAATCCACCCCTTGTTTAGCATATCGTCAAGAAATAACCATAAAATGAGCAACCAGCAGCCCTTGGGGTTGCTCTGCCTATGAAGTTGCCATTCTTTTATTCCTTTACTTTCCTAATGAACTTGCTTTCACTGTATTCTATGGACCCGCCCTGAATTCTTTCTTGCACAAGATCCAAGAACCCTCTCTTGGGGTGTAGATCGAGACCCCTTCCCTGTAACACTTGCAGATGGGCTTGGCCAGCGGGAAGGACCACAGGAGATGGGTGGAAGGGAATAAGTGAGGGCAGGTGAGTATTTCCAGCTTTCCTCCTGCTGGGTTGTGCCCTCTGCCATAAGTTGGTTGTGTCCCTTCACCAAATGCCATACCCCTTGTCTAGTGTCCCTCTCCATATACTACACTCTCCTCTTCCATAATCTCTTCCATCTCCTGCCCCTCCTGGTCAAGCTGTTCCCAACCTTGAGGCACTGCAGTAGCCCTTGCTGGAGTCCTTAGGCCCTGCGCACAGGTTTCTAAACAGTCTCTTATCAAAGCTTCCTCCAATTACTCAGTTTGAGTGCATCATCTTTTTCCTGCCAGGACCCTGACTAAAGCAAAGCCTAAAAGTTTGTGGATTTACATCACCCAGAAATCTCATCATTGGGGATGTCTTGATGATGCCAGCATTTCTGAATTTCTGTAAGTGAGACAGACAACAGCTGGTGATGTGGTCACACTGCAGTGAGAACATTTGGGCAGGGCAATTAATAGGCCCCAAGACATCTTTCTTTTTGGAAAAATACCCACCCACCCCCTACCACCTCCTCATACTGCTATAGCATTGCTGTAGCAACAAAATGGTAATTCAAAGAGGTATATTTTTATTTTAAAAGGCTCTCTGTCTGGGAAATTTCTACTCTACGAGCCGATGCTTGTGCTGTGAGGCTGAATCTTCCTTAAGAACAAGACAAAACGGCCGGGCACAGTGGCTCACGCCTATAATCCCAGCACTTTGGGAGGCCGAGGCAGGAATCATCTGAGGTCAGGAGTTCAGGAACAGCCTGGCCAACATGGTGAAACCCTGTCTCTACAAAAATACAAAAAATATTAGCTGGGCATGATGGTGCCTGTCTGTAATCCCAGCTACTTAGGAGGCTGAGGCAGGAGAGTCTCTTGAGCCCGGGAGGTGGAGGTTGCTGTGAGCAGAGATCTTGCCATCATTGCACTCCAGCTTGGGCGACAGAGCGAGACTCCATCTCAAAACAAACAAACAAACAAACAAACAAACAAACAAAAGACAAAACAAAAGAGGAACCAACAGTGCCTTGGAGGGAGTCCAATTAAGGAGCATGACCGAAAGGAGGGAGAACAGCCACAGAGAGCTAAGCCAGGCGGGAGCGCATCTGTTCAGGTCCGGGTGCACACAGCAGGTAACAGGGTATCGGTGAAGGTGCCAGGGGTGTCAGTTCCTAGTCACCTCCTCTTGCAGGTGCCGAGGCAGAGTCTGCGCGGTGGGAGAAGGCAGAGCCGGGCTGGAGTGCTTACTTTCCTTCTGTCCTCAGCAGCTGCACGTGGAAGGCGAGCAGGGCTCAAGGTGGATTGGGTGCATGGTGGTGTCCCAGCCGGGTCAGGAGGAACACTCAGCCAGGCTTGCTCCCCCAAATTCACATGGGCTATGCCACGGGAGGCCTCAGACCGCACCTTCGTCTTCCAGCCTCAAGGCGAGGGCCTTGCAGGTGTTGGCAGAGAAGGTGAACATCTCAAAAAAAAAAAAAAAAAATGCAAATATGAGCTGTCAGCTACAAGGGGTTGGGGGTTGTGTACCATCCTGATAAAGAGAGTCTAGATACCAAGACACCAAAAGCTTCACTATAATACCAGAGGTAGTAAATGAAAGTAGCATTTTAAGTCTGTGGAAAGGATGGATATTCCATAAATATTATTGAGACCATTGACTATCCTTTTGAAAAAAGAAAGTTTGGTCTACACCTCACACCTTGAATGAAAACAGGTTCCAAAATGGGTCCAAGATTTACCCACTGTAACAAACAAAAAAAATGACAAATGAACTGTATTACTGTATTAGTTATCTATCTCCGCATAACAAATTAACCCCAGATTTAGCAGCTTTAAACAACAAACATTTATTATCTATGGTTATGGGGGTCAGGAATCCAGGAGCAGCATAACTGGGTTCTGCCTCAGTATCTCTCATCAGGTTGCAGACAAGATATTGGCTCAGGCTGCAGTTTTGTTGTTGTTGTTGTTGTTGTTTTAAGAGACGGGGTCTCACTCTGTTGCCCAGGCTGGAGTGCAGTGGCTATTAACAAGCACAATCATAATGTCATAACTACAGCCTCAAACTCCTGGGCTCAAGTTATCCTCCGGCCTCAGCCTCCTGAGTAACTGGGACTACAGGCATGTGCCACCAACGGGCTGCAGTCATTTGAAGGCTCAACTGGAGGAGGCTCCCATTTCAAGGTCACTCATGTTGTTGTTGGCCAACCTTAATTCCCCGTTGGCTGTTGGACTGAGACCTCATTTCTCACCACTGGTTCATGCCAAGTCCAACCCAGATGTGCCCAGTTAAGCAGCTCTCCTGCAAGCAATGAGTCAGGAATTCAAGCTCTCTATCCAGTAACTCCACTGTCCCCAGGAATCTTGGACTCTTCTCCTGCATCCAGCCAGCTGGTAGGCAAGGGGAGAACATGGATGGTTGCATGAAAAGTTTGAAGAGCCACCCCTGAAAAAGGCACACATCACTTCTCCCCGCATTCCATTGGCCAGAATTCGACATGATGCTAGGGGGCTGGGAAACATAGCTCTCCTGTGTGCCCAGGAGAAAAATAAATCGGTTTGGTGAGCACATGGTATTGTGTCTGCCATGGGCCTGTAGGTAAGGATATCTGCTCTTCACCAGCCAGGGCTTGGCTGTCCAATGGAAGAACTCCTTCTTTTCAGCTCTTCAAATCACAAGTCAAGTGACTCAATGACTGAGTCAATAGGGAGAATTAGTGCACCCCAGCACCTGAACTTTATGAGGTCTCCAACTTGGTTTGGTTTCACTGGCCCCCTCATTCCTTCCTTTCCCAGGGAGGCCCTGACTTGTATCAACAACTGCTGAATTACATTACATGTACAGTGTCAGTGTGTCAATGTTACTAGAAACTTCTAAAATGCTACCCAAGGAGCTTTACTGAATATCCTTCTATTTATTTCCCCAGGTGTACCCTTGCATTTCTCCACCCTGCCCTGTCCCTTGGGAGGCAGATCCAAACACATTGTGTGTCAGTGCCCTGACCCAGGTGCGTTCTGTCAGCAGGAGGCACCAGCGGGTATCTGGAAAGTGGAGTGGGAGTGGGGCTGTCAGGTGCTTATTTCCCTGGCTCCTTCTTGTCAGGTCACCATGGATTGTGGTGTCTTTAACTTTTTTCAAAATGTTGAGATACAATTTAAGCTGGGCAAATTTAGCACTGTCTGTAGTCCCGGCTACTCGGGAAGCTAAGGCAGGAGAGTCGCTTGAGGCCAGGAGTTCAGGACCACCCTGGGTAACATAGCAAGACTGTGTCTCAAAAAACAAAACAAAACAAAACCAAAACAGGCAATGACAAAAAATGAGACAAAATTCACAAGTTGGCTGGGTGCAGTGGCTCATGCCAGTAATCCCAGTACTTTGGGAGGCTGAGGTGGGCAGATCACTTGAGGTCAGGAGGTCAGTGGCCTACACAGTGAAATCCCATCTCTACTAAAAATACAAAAATTAGCTGGGCCTGGTGGCACGTGCTTGTAATCCTAGCTACTTGGGAGGCTAAGGCAGGAGGATAGCTTGAACCCGGGAGGCAGAGGCTGCAGAGAGCCAAGATTGCGCCATTGCAATCCAGCCTGGGCAACAGAGTGAGACTCAATCACAAAAAAAAAAAAAATTCGCAAGTCATAAAATTTACCATTTTAACCATTTTAAAGTGTACAATTTAGAGATTTTTAGTATATTCACAATCTTGTACATTACAGGGGTGTCCAATCTTTTAGCTTCCCTGGGCCACATGGGAAGAATAATTGTCTTGGGCCACACATAAAATACACTAACACTAACGATAGTTGATGAGCTAAAAAGAATCACAAAAAATCTCCTAATGTTTTAAGAAAGTTTACACATTTGTGCCAGACCGCATTCAAAGATGTCCTGGGCCACATGTGGCCTGCGGGCCTCTGGTTGGACAAACTTGTCATAGAACCATCACTGCTATCTAATTCCAGGACGTTTATGTCATCCTCCAATAAACTTTGTATATTTCAACCTCCCTCTGCCCCTTTTCCCTGGCAACCACAACCTCCACGGACTGTTGCATCATGTCCTCTCCTAATGCCATGACTCTGCTGAGTTGTCCTGCCTAGGAAGCTTGCTTTTCCTTTCCCTTGCCTTCCTAGGAAGCTTGCTTTTCCCTTCCCTTCCCTTCCCTTCCCTTCCCTTCCCTTCCCTTCCCTTCCCTTCCCTTCCTTCCCTTCCCTTCCCTTCCCTTCCCTTCCCTTCCCTTCCCTTCCCTTCCCTTCCCTCCCCTCCCCTCCCCTCCCCTCCCCTCCCCTCCCCTCTCCTCCCCTCCCCTCCCCCTCCCTCCCCCTCCCTCCCCCTCCCTCTCCTTCCTTCCCTCCCTCTTTCGTTTTCTTTCTTCTTTCTTTTCCTTTTTCTTTTCTTCTTTCCTTCTTCTCCTTCCTCCCTTCCTTCCTTCTCCCCCTCCCTCTTTTCTTTTCTTTCTTCCTCCTTTTCTTTCTTCTTTCTTTTTCTCTTTCTTTCTTTCCTTTCTTTTTCTCTTTCTTTCTTTCCTTTCTTTTTCTTTATTTCTTTCTTTTTCTTCTTTCTTTCTTTCTTTTCCTTTCTCTCTTTCCCCTCCATCCCTTTCCTTCTTTCATCCTTTTCCTTCATTCCTTCCTTTTCTTTCTTTCTTCCCTTTCTTTCTTTCCTCTCTTTTCTTTTCTTCTTTTTTTGAGACAGAATCTCACTCTGTCACCCAGGCTGGAGTGCAGTGGCATGATCTTGGCTCACTGCAACCTCTGCCTACCAGGTTCAAGCAGTTCTTCTGTCTCAGCCTCCCAAGTAGCTGAGACTACAGGTGCCTACCACCATGCCTGGCTAACTCTTGTATTTTTAGTAGAGATGGGGTTTCACCACATTGGTCAGGCTGGTCTTGAACTCCTAACCTCAGGTGATCCGCCCGCCTCGGCCTGGGCCTCCCAAAGTGCTGGGATTACAGGCATGAGCCACTGTGCCCTGCCCCTCCCATCCCCTCCCCTTCCCTTCCCTTCATCTCACTCTGTCACCCAGGCTGCAGTGCAGTGGTACAATCATAGCTCACTGCAGGCTCGAACTCCTGGGTTCTGGCAATCCTCCCACCTCAGTCTCCCAAATACCAGGGATTATAGGTGTGTACCACCATGAGCAGCTACATTTAAAAAAAATGTTTTGTAGAGATAGGGTCTTGCTATATTGCCCAGGCTGGTCTACAACTCCTGAGCTCAAACAATCTTCCTGCCTCAGCCTCCCAAAGTATTGGGATTGCAGAAGTGTGCCACCACGCCCAGCCACACAGCAGGATTTCAAAGAGCCTTTAGTCTGTGCATGTGCACTGTGGTTCTCTGAAGGAGACGTGATAGGCAGGGGAGCCCAGGGTCACTCATGGAAAAATGCTGTTTAGGGAAGGACTTGGCCAGCATTGCTCCAGAAGCCTGCTGGGCCACCAAGTCCTGACATTGTCCTAGCTGGAGGTCTCTATCCAGGGTGTGGATGCTGAGCTATCAGTGTGCACAGGAGCAGGGCCCTGGGCTGCCCCTCAGGGCCCAGCAGGCCTGTCCCAAGGGCCTGACATCACACCCCATAAACAGGCCCCACTGCCTTCACCTGAGCACAGCCTCTGTCCTGCATGGTACCCCCCAACTTCATGTGCCTTCATTATCCAACGCCCTCTCCTGTCCCTTTAGATCCAAGTTCACCATTGAGCTTCTGGAATTCTCACCACTTCCCTGCTTCCTGCCAGAGGTATACTGTCTGATTTTGACCTTTGGTTTCTGTCCATGACTAAAATTCAGACATTCCCTCCGGTCATGGCACTTTTGGAAAGAGATTGGAGGTAGAGATACCACTGGGAAGATGACATCTGCTGCGTATGGTCTGGTGGTGTTGTCAAGCCTGGGCTCAGGTACTGAGGGAAAGGCCAGCAGAGAGGGTGGGCTAGCTGGTAGAGGTGGGGCAGGTGAGGGCAGTAGGTGTGCTGGGCTCACCAGAGCAGCAGTGGGCCCACTAAGCCTGCCCAACCCAGAGTCCACCAGAGCAGTGACTCAGGGAAGGGCCACTCCCTGCTCCTTGTCTCAAGAAAGATTCATTTGGAAAATCCCCAGTGCCGTAAGGCTGACATCAGGAAAAAGGGCATTTACCTGTGCAGAAGCAAAGGTTATCAAGGGACTTGTGCTTCAACCCAGGGGCCTAGCGCTGGACACTGTGGACACCTAGAGGTGCTGGGTAGGAGCGCAGGGAGCAGTCTCCCAACCCAGCTCCGAGTGGGCATTGACTGACTGCAGGGCATGCTCCCACCTTCCTGCTCAGCTTGAGGTCAGGGGAGGTTCTCAGGGACTGGAGAGTGTACAGAAAAGGGGATCTGAGGAACAGGGTGGTGCCACTCAGACTTAAAGTCCCCTTCAGAGGTCCATGAGCATCTCACAGGGTCCCTTCCCTGCTCCCACTCTCTGTGAAGGGGCATGTGCTTAAATTCCTCCTGCCAGAACCCACAGTCTCTGCGTCCCCAGAAGAGCCCTCTCAGGAAGGGCCGGTAAGGTCTCCAGCTCTGTCATGACTGTCTTCAGTGAGAGCATGCCTCTCCTCCTGAAAACGGTCAGCGTCGGCTGGGTGTGGTGGCTCATGCCTGTAATCCCAGCACTTTGGGAGGCCGAGGCAGGCAGATCAGGAGGTCAGGAGTTCGAGGTTAGCCTGGCCAACATCGTGAAACCCTGTCTCTACTAAAAATATAAAAATTAGCTAGATGTGGTGGCATGTGCCTGTAATCCCAGCTACTTGGGAGGCTGAGACAGAAGAATTGCTTGAAACCAGGAGGCAAAAGCTGCAGTGAGCTGAGATCGCGCCACTGCACTCCAGCCTAGGCAACAGGGCAAGACTGTTGTCTTAAAAAGCAAGCAAACAAACAAACAAAAAACTGGGGAAGGGACGTGCTATGCAGTAGAGAGTGGAGAGACTGCTGAGCACACTGTAAAGCACAGGACAGCCCCCGCAATAAAGCATTATCCAGCCCCACCTGGGAGGAGTGCCAGGGCGGAGAAATCCTAAACAAGACCAACTGCTAGGACGTGGCAACTGCATGATCTGCATGCAGGTCTCCCTCCAGCCCCCAGCCCCTCACCACCTCCCGGGGCATTCCCTAAGCGGTTTTCCAGCCCACAGCTTCCCATGGAGGAAAGGGTACACAGTCTCATAGACAGTGACCAGAAGTGAGATAAGAAGTGACTTGTCCAAGGTCACACAGCCCACAAGTGGCAGTGCTTGGATTCAAAGGTGGCTACCACAATGGGGAAGCATGGGTGGGTGTATATGAGTGATGAGACACAACAGTGTCAACAGTGGTTGCTTTAAGCATTAGATTGTGTGATTTTGCTTTTCTCTATTTTTCAGCTTTTTGACAATGTGATTATGTCATTTGGATAATTTATAAATATTTTTGAAAATTTAAATGAAGGCATCAGAAATGCTACTTTGCATTATTTCTGTGAACTCTGGTGTATTAGTCTGTTCTCACATTGCTAGTAAAGACATACCTGAGACTGGGTAATTTATAAAGGAAAGAGTTTAATGGACTCACAGTTCCACATGGCTGGGGAGGCCTCACAATCATGGTGGAAGGCTAAGGAGGCACAAAGGCATGTCTTACATGGCAGCAGGCAAGAGAGCATGTGCAGGGGAACGGCCCTTTATAAAACCATCAGATCTCATGAAATGTATTCACTTTCATGAGAACAGCAGAGGAAAAACCTGCCCCCATGATTCAATTACTTCCCACCCAATCCCTCCCATGACATGTGGGGATTATGGGAGCTACAATTCAAGATGAGATGTCGGTGGGGACACAGCCAAATCATATCACCTGGTTTCCAGGCAACACTTGGCTTTTCCCTTGCTGGCCCTCTGGAGTGACTGGGCTTTTGCTGGGAAGGAGTCCCACCCGTTTTCATTTTGCAGGGTGTTCACTTCTCTCAGCTAAGCCAATATTCCCAGTGTCTTCTCTCACACACTTAATTTTACTGAAGTCTGAAGACTGTCTAGGGAAAAAAAATTGAGATGGGTCCCAAGGGTAGTCACTCTGTTTTTAGTTATAGAGCCACCTGTCTCCTTCTACTTTGTCCAAGTCAAGCCTCTCCTCTTGCAACTTTAAATAGACATTTTTTTTTGAGACAGAGTTTTGCTCTTGTTGCCCGGGCTGGAGTGCAGTGGCATGATCTCGATCTCACTGCAACCTCCGCCTCCTGGGTTCAAACAATTCTCCTGCCTCAGCCTCCCAAGTAGCTGAAATTACAGCCCACCACCACGCCCAGCTAATTTTTTCTTTTTTTTTTTAGTAGAGACGGGGTTTCACCATGTTGGCCAGGCTGGTCCCAAACTCCTGACCTCAGGTGATCCACCCAACTCGGCCTCACAAAATGCTGGGATTACAGGTGTGAGCCACCGCACCTGGCCATAAAGAGACGTTTTTAACATTTACATTATTTTATATCAAGCTGACCTCTCATTAAGACATTGATATAGTTTGGATATTTGCCCCCCCTTAAAATCTCATGTTGAAATTTGATCCCCAGTGTTGGAGGTCTGGCCTAATGGGAGGTGTTTGGGTCATGGGGGTAGATCTTTCATGAATGGCATGGTGCCATTCTTTTGGGAGTGAGTGAGTCTTCCCTATGAGTCCCTGTGAGAGCTGATTGTTAAAGAGGGCCTGGCCCCTCCTCCTCTCTTGTTCCTTTCTCGTGACACATTCCCCCATGAATGGAAGCAGTCCGAGGCCTTCACCAGATGCAAATGCCAGCACCATGCTTCTTGTATAGCCTGAGAACTGTGAGTCAAAGAAACCTCTTTTCTTTATAAATTACCCAGCCCCAGTGTTCCTTTATAGCAACACAAATGGGCTAAGACAGATATATAAATATAGCCTGTGATGGGGGAAGAGTAGACCAAAAAGAGGATAGATAGTGATGGATTATCTTGCTTCCAAGCTAGGAAAATGCTTCATGATATTCGAATGTGCAAGAATGGCCAGGCGCAGTGGCTCACACCTGTAATCCCAGCACTTTGGGAGGCTGAAGAGGGCAGATCACTTGAGGTCAGAAGTTTGAGACCAACCTGGCCAACATGGTCAAACCCTGTCTCTACTCAAATACAAAATCAGCCAGGCATGGTGGTGGGCGCCTATAATCCCAGTTACTCGGGAGGCTGAGGCAGGAGAATAGCTTGAACCTGGGAGGCAGAGGTTGCAGTGAGTCAAGATCTTTCCACTGCACTCTAGTCTGGGTGACAGAGTGAGACCCTGTCTCAAAAAAAAAAAAAAAAAAGAAATTTGCAAGAATAACACATCCTGATGGGCAACTCTTGGTGCCACACCTAGGATGCCCCAGCAAAACTGCCCAGGACATTGTGGGAAAGGCCCTACCGAATATGCTTGCATCATGCTCTAGGTTCTTCTTGTTCTCCTGGAATAGTCCCTGATGCACCCGAGCTCTTCTAACAAACAAACATCTCCGCTGCTCCAAATTTCAGGTCAAAGTCTTTTTTTTTTTTTTTTTTTTTGAGACAGAGTCTCGCTCTGTCACCTGGGCTGGAGTGCAGTGGTGCGATCTCAGCTCACTGCAAGCTCTGCCTCCCACGTCACGCCATTCTCCTGCCTCAACCTCCCAAGTAGCTGGGACTTCAGGCCCCCGCCACCATGCCCCGCTAACTTTTTTGTATTTTTAGTAGAGACAGGGTTTCACCGTGTTAGCCAGGATGGTCTCTATCGCCTGACCTCGTGATCCACCTGCCTCAGCCTCCCAAAGTGCTGGAATTACAGGCATGAGCCACCGCGCTCGGCCGAAGTCAAAGTCTTCTTCAACACCTTGGCCAGAGTTAGTGTCTCTTTCACTTAAGCTTGTCATGTAACCTTGGCCAAGTCACCACCCACTGAGCCCGGGACCTCATTGGTACACTGGGGATAATAATACCAAACTTAGGAGTATGGTGAGGATGAAAGGAGACAGTAGAAAACAAGTTGATCCCCTAGGATGTTCACAGGCATTCATTATATCTGAATCACAAATGACTTACTAATAAGCTTTTTAATGCGGCTTCATTTGATTCTAGATTGGTTGATCTTAAGCAAAGGTAAATTCTTTAAAATACTTATTTGCCTGTTTACAACAATTATTTATTTTTATTGTAGAAAATTTGGAAAGGGTACAAATAATCAAATAAAGGTGACTAGTCACTCTACACAACCACATTCAAACTCCCCACACAATTCTCCGTCACCGCCATTTTAGTGGCTGCCCAGGATATGGTTCCATGGATCTAGTGTCCTGTCCTATTGCTGATGGCTTAGGTTACTTCCAATTGCTCAGTGTTGCCAAGAATGCTGTGATAAATAGCCTTATAAATAAACTGTGGTGCACATTCAGTGCTATTTCTTTAGGATTCTTAGAATTATTATTATTATTATTAATTATTATTTTGAGACAGGGTCTTGCTCTGTCGCCCAGGCTGGTGTGTAGTGGTGCGATCTTGGCTCATTGCAGCCTCTGTCTCCCAGGTTCAAGTGATTCTCCTGCCTCAGCCTCCCGAATAGCTGGGATTACAGATGTGTACCACCATACCTGGCTTATTTTAGTATTTTTAGTAGAGACAGGGTTTCACCATGTTGGCCAGGCTGGTCTCGAACTTCTGACCTCAAGTGATCCATCTGCCTCAGCCTCCCAAAGTGCTGGGATTACAGGCATGAGCCACTGCGCTCGGCCTCTATTATTTATGCATTTAAAGACCAGGTTTCACTATATTGTCCAGGCTGGTCGCCAACTCCTGGCCTCAAGCAATCCTCCCACCTCAGCCTCTCAAATCATTTGAGATTTACAAGTGTGAGATACCACACCCAGCCAGAAGTAAAATGTCTAAGACAAAGCCCAAGCATCATTATAGAGGGCCACTTCAGAGAGTGATGGGAGTTTGGACCCTAAGGTGTAATCACAGCCTGCCCATCTGCAGACATGGCCTGCCCCCACCATGATCTCCACAAACAGGGCCCACAATAGCTGGCAAGGAGGTCCAGGGCCCTAGTGACAACTCTTTTTTTTTTTTTTTTTTTGAGACAGAGTCTTGCTTTGTTGCCCAGGCTGCAGTGCAATGGCAATATCTCGGCTCACTGCAACCTCTGCCTCCCAGGTTCAAGCGATTATTCTGCCTCAGCCTCCTGAGTAGCTGGGATTACAGGCGTGTGCCATCACGGCCGGCTAATTTTTGTATTTTTAGTAGAGACAGGGTTTCACCACGTTGGTCAGGCTGGTCTCGAACTCCTGACCTCAGGTGATATGCCTGCCTCGGCTTCCCGAAGTGCTGGGATTACAGGCAAGAGCCACAGCGCCCGGCCTATTTTTAGTTATTTATTTATTTTTGAGACAGAGTTTCCCTCTTGTCACCCAGGCTGGAGTGCCGTGGTGCGATCTCGGCTCACTGCAACCTCTGCCTCCCAGGTTCAGGTGATTCTCCGGCCTCAGCCTCCAAAGTAGCTGGGATTACAGGCGCCCATCATCAAGCCCGGCTAATTTTTTGTATTTTTAGTAGAGACGGGGTTTTGCCATGTTGGGCAAGCTGGTCTCAAACTCCTGACCTCAGGTGATCCTCCCGCCTTGACCTCCCAAAGTGCTGGGATTACAGACATGAGCCATCGTCCCCAGCCTCTTCTCGAGATTTAAACCAAGGCTCCTACTGCAACACTCTCTCACTCCAGCTTTTGTGCATCTCTGAGAGAACTGGCTGAGCTTTGTATTTGGTTGTTATTTTTATTAAAATCCTAGATTTATTGAATGTTTCTTTTTATCTTTAAAAGCCTCCCAGCCCCATTTGATATTCTGGCATTCCTCCCGGAGAGCTGGGCCGCCCTCCTCCCCAGGTGAAGAATCACTCCATTTACTCATCTTTGAAGTCACTTCCCTCGCTATTGGGAGCAATGCCACACATTTGTTGGCTGGACACAGGATGCAAATGCTGAAAGCTCACTTTGTGTCCCTGCCACTCTCCCCGCCCACTGTCCATCTCCTCTAGTGTGTAGTGGTGGCCCTATCCCCTTTTGGCACAGCTGGGGCCCCCTTTCTGTTCTCCATCTGAATCCAGGCCTGAGGCATCTCTGCTCCCTGGCATCACCCTGTAATAGACACATCCTTCCTAGGAACACAGGATCCTCTCCTCCCTTCCCCATGCCCCAGGGCTGCTCCTCTGCTCCCAGGCCAACTGCACTCCTTCTCTGGAACACAGCTCTTATCTATCTCCCAGAACAAGGAAGTTTCATCCTGTAACTAAGTCTTGCCAATCCGAGGAAAAGGCTTGAGGGTAGGAATGGTTCAGAGAAGAAAAACTAGGCCATCCTCTGAGATCAGGAGTCCTGAGGTCCCAGGAGGATCAGAGCAGCCTTGTAACAGTCTAGTGCAACTCCTTTGACTTACTAATGGGGAAACTGAGGCCCAGAAAAGGGTGGGACATGCCCACGGCCACACAGTGAGAAAGTGTCAGGCAGGACTGGGATGGAGGTCTTCTCATGCCAGACCCTATGTGCTTCACCCTGACTCCCTCTGCTAAGACCCAATCAAAGGCTGGCTGTTCCTATGCATTGCATAGATGCAGTACTTTTAAGTTTTTGCCACAGACCAGCCTGTGAGGATAAAATGGATCAGACATGCCCCTTGCCTCCAGCAGTGTTGTTCTCTAAGGAATAATAATACAAACTAGGACTGGGCGGGGTGGCTCATGCCTGTAATCCCAGAACTTTGGGAGTCCGAGGTGAGAGGATTGCTTGAGCCCAGGAGTTCAAGACCAGCCTGGGCAACATAGGGATACCTCTGTCTCTACAAAAAAAAAGGACAGGGAGAGAAACCGCATGAGCCTCAAGCAGATACCGCAATACATGGAGCCCACAAAGGCACTGGCTGTGTTTCTCTGCCATTTCAACCCCATTTGGACCTTAGTTGTGGCATGCAGGAGGGCCCTGCCAGGACGGTGACCCCTTACTCGCCTTCAACCCCTGCTGTAAGTAGCCCCCAGCAGGGTGTGGGGCAGAAGAGCCCTCCCCGGAGAGCTCAGTACTGCAATTCTGCCACTGGGTGGCACTGTGGTGCCTCAGGAGGGGGACCACGCCTAAAGGAAACTGCCCAGAGAAGGGGTGGCACGGGAAAAGCGTCACTTGGGCCCTCCTGTGCTGGGCAAGTTGCTTTCCATCTAGGGTTACAAAGAGGTACATGAAATAGGTCCTGCCTTCCAGGAGCCCACAGTGGAACAGTCACATGGACAACAAATTAATTGTTCCAATAATAGATGTAATTAGTTGCTCCAATAGAAGCACAAGAACAACCGGTTCCCGCTGAGGGGCCCGGGGAGGAGGCAGCAATTGAGTCTTGATGTTAGAGTGCTCAGCAGGCCATTCTAGTTCAGGCTGTCTCTCACAGTGCAGGCTCTCAGGGCACTGCGCACTTGGTTTGGGTGGGAGGTAGGGGTGGGGTGTGCCCAGGGAGGTTTGGCCCAGTCCATAGGACAGCGACCTGTAGGGAGCTGGGGGCTGGAAGCCTCTGTCAGCCACCTTCCCCAGCCAGCAGCAGGCTGAGCCTCTGAGGCCAGGGCCTTTGGTGTGGCTATCCTGGGTTGCTCTGTCTCCATTAAAGCACTTAGCTAAGGGACATGGAGGAGAGACACTGGTGTTAGGACAACCAGAACACTGGGAAGTCTTCCAGTGCCAAAGAAAGACAACTGGCCTCCTGTCCTCTTGCTGTGCCTTCTGGCCTCAAGTCCACATGACCTTGGCCTGGGTACGGCAGCCCTCAGGGCTCAGTGACTACATCTGTAAAAAGGGTCTTCTGTCTAAACAAATATATTGAGAAATGAAAAAGTTTAAAGGACCTCTTTTGACTGACCTGAAGGCACACCCTGTGTCCTGCAGGTGTGGGGGACACCTGGGAGAGAAGGACTCTCCTCTGCCGGCTTCAGGTTGTGGCTGGGCCCAGTGGAAAGCCAGAATACATCTCTGTCCTTGGAACACAATTCATCCTCCACAGCTTCTGTAAAATCTGATGGGCTGAGCTTTGCAGCAGGGAAGTGATTTAATACCTAGTAGATACATTTTCATTAAATTTTTGAAGATGGAGCAAAGCCTCTAGTTTTCAAATTTTCTGTGCAGAAGTTAACCCATTATGGTGTTGAAACCCACATCCGCACCGTAAAACTAAAATCTTCTTCTCAAAACAAAGCACAATATATCACCCTGTAATAGACACATCCTTCCTAGGAACACAGGATCCTCTCCTCCCTTCCCCGTGCCCCAGGGCTGCTCCTCTGCTCCCAGGGCTGCTCCTCTGCTCCCAGGCCAACTGCACTCCTTCTCTGGAACACAGCTCTTATCTATCTCCCAGAACAAGGAAGTTTCATCCTGTAACTAAGTCAATCCAACTAAGGAGATGGATTGACTGAGGTTTGCAACTAGGGGCTTCAAGCTTGCCCAGGAGATGAGCAAAGGGTTGGCCGGACCGTTGCTCGCACACCCATCACCAGTAGGGTGCACCTCTTTTCTCCTCCCAGGTCCTCACTGGTGAGGCTGCAAGCCAGGGCTGGGTGTGGCATTTCAAGCAGATACTCTGCACCTCCTTTTGTCATTTACAAGTGATGCTGGTGACAGGTGATTGGGTGTTTGGAAGGCACACAGGGTCTCATGGATCTGAGGGTTTGCTACAGACGGGGAAACTCCTCACATTCCCTCCACCAGTGTCCCACCCCAGAGCTAGGCTTGCCCACCATGGCTGGGGATCCAGGTTACCTTTTAGAGGGATTGCTCCCCTCCAGCCGACCGCCACTCCAGAGGAGGCCTGAGGGGCTTTCCTCCCACCTATATTTAAATAGCACGCACAACCTTTCCATTGAAATCGTGCACAAACTGGAGCTTTCCAAAGACACTTTTATTTACACATTTTACTGCTAAACAACAGAAATTTTATGTAATTATGTATTTGAATACTGATGAGAGGAGGGAAGGAGGATGGCCAGAGGGGAGCTGATGGGGATTAAGGGAGATAAAGATAAAGCCCTTTCTGTCCCCTGCCTTTGCCCCAACTACTTCTTTTTTCTTTTCTTTTCTATATAATTTTTCTAATTTTTTTCTAATTTTTTTACTAAATAAAAAATTAGTACTCCAATGGAAAAATGAGCAAAAGATGTGAAAAATACAATTCACAAAGACTAAGAATGCCCACTGTTAGTGAGGTGAAACTGGCCCTCACCTTCTGTGACTGGACAAGTACTTTTATACGATCTTTCAATTGACGGTAGTTTCAAAATTCTTGAATGTGCATACTCTTTAATCAAGCAATTCTACATCTTGAAATTTACCCTGTAGAAACATCTGCACAACTAACCAAAAATAAATATGCCAGAATGTTCCTTGTATTATTATTTATTATATAGGCTAATTGAAAAATCATAAAAGTTCATCAACAGTAGACTGGTTAAACTATGGTGTAACCAATCATACGATGAAATCATATTTTTTTTTTTTTTTTTTGAGTCAGAGTCTCACTCTGTCGCCCAGGCTGGAGTGCAGTGGCACGATCTTGGCTAGCTGCAACCTCCACCTCCCGGGTTCAAGCAATTCTCCTGCCTCAGCCTTCCAAGTAGCTGGGACCACAGGCACATGCCACCACACCTGGCTGGTTTTTTTGTTTTTTGTTTTTTTTTGTAGAGACGAGGTTTCACTATGTTGGCCAGGCTGGTCTCGAACTCCCGACCTCAGGTGATCCACCGCCTTGGCCTCCCAAAGTGCTGGGATTACAGGCATGAGCCACCACGCCCGGTCATATGTAGTTATTAAAAGTATAAGGTACATGCATATCCTTCAATGTATGCCAATATGCCCTCAGTCTATTGTCAAATAACAAAAAAAAAGCAGATTAAAAATTGTTATGTGGCATGGCGTGGTGGCTCATGCCTGTAATCCCAGCACTTTGGGAGGCTGAGGTGGTTGGATCATCTGAGGTTGGGAGTTCGAGACCAGCCTGACCAACATGGAGAAACCCTGTCTCTATTAAAACAACAACAACAACAAAAAAATCAGCCGGGTGTGGTGGCACACACCTGTAGTCCCAGCTACTCGGGAGGCTGAGGCAGGAGAATTGCTTGAACCCAGGAGGCAGAGGTTGCAGTGAGCCAAGGTCATGCTATTGCATTTGCACTCCAGCCTGGGCAACAAGAGTGAAACTCCATCTCAAAAAAAAAAAAAAAAAAATTATTATGTTCCCTATGGCCCAGATGGCTCACACCTGTAATCCGAGCACTTTGGAAGCCTGGGGCAGGTGGATCACCTGAGGTCAGGAGTTTGAGACCAGCCTGGCCAACATGGTGAAACCCTATCTCTACTAAAAATACAAAAAATTAGCCAGGCATGGTGGCACATGCCTGTAATCCCAGCTACGTGGGAGGCTGAGGCAGGAGAATTGCTTGAATTTGGGAGGCGGAGGTTGCAGTGATCTGAGATCGTGCCATTGCACACCAGCCTGGGCAACAAGAGTGAAACTCCATCCCCCACCCCCCAAAAAACAAAACTATTATGTTTATATGTAAAAATATAAATTTGTATATATACTGAACATCTGGAAAGTTACATTAAACATTTAGACGTGGCTAGCTTTGGGGTGCATTTAGAATTTTCTACTTTCTACAGCTCTGGATTTTAAAAATACCATTTATGGCCAGGTGTGGTGCCTCATGCCTGTAATCCCAACACTTTGGGAGGCCGAGGTGGGCGGATCACTTGAGGTCAGGAGTTCAAGACCAGCCTGGCTAACATGGTGAAACCCCGTCTCTTCTAAAAATACAAGAATTAGCTGGGCATGGTGGTGCACACCTGTAGTCCCAGCTACTGGGGGTAGGCGGGTGAGGCAGGAGAATTGCTTGAATCTGGGAGGTGGAGGTTGCAGTGAGCCGAGATCATGCCACTGCACTCCAGCCTCAGCAACAGAGCAAGACTCCGTCTAAAAACAAACAAAACCCCATTTACAATATAACTTCTTGTTACCAGTAAAAATAATAGAATTTTCTCCCATTTGGGGAGAAAATAAACATTCCAACACTTGAGTGCCTATATCTTTGAACGTCTTTTGAGTCACGTGCCCCTCCCCAGGTCAGGGAGGAGGCCAGCCATATCATTTCAGCCTCACAGATAGGCACCTTGAACCTCTGTGAGTAGAGGGAGGTTGGCCAGGATCACACAGACAGAAATGCACACTCAGACCTCTTCAACTAGATGTTTCCAGAGGATTTTTGCTTTTGTTTTGTTTTGCTTTTTCTGGAAATCATACTCTCCACCCTGAGGATCTTTGGGCACAGCCACTTTGGTATCTGTATTTTCTTGTAGCAGATGCTGTTGGTATCCTGCCTGCACCCTCTTAACCTTTACCATTTCATTGCTTGCTGGCTTGACTTCCAAATGCCAGAACTTGCATCGAATTGCCTGAGAGCATTCTCTCTTCTTCAAAACAGGCCAGAAGTGGCTGGGCATGGTGGCTCATGCTTATAATCCCAGCACTTTGGGAGGCTGAGGTGGGCAGATCACCTGAGGTCAGGAGTTCAAGCCCAGCCTGGTCAACATGGTGAAACCCTGTCTCCACTAAAAATACAAAAAATTAGCCAGGCGTGGTGGTGCACACCTGTAATCCCAGCTACTCGGGAGGCTGAGGCAGGAGAATCACTTGAACCTGGGAGTTGGAGGTTGCAGTGAGCCAAGATCGCACCATTGCACTCAAGCCTGGGTGACAGCAAGACTCTGCCTCAAAAAAGCAAAACAACAACAACAACAACTAAAAAAAAAAAAACAAAACAAAAACATAGGCCAAGAGTGACAGACAATTAATGCCTCCTGGCAGCATCCCTTTACTTAATCACTGGCAGGAGCTGGTTTATAAATATCCCAGCTTCCTCTCTCTTCAGGTGCAATAGCACTGAAGCAGTGTTTCACACTGGCTTCCAGGGCTCCATAGGGGAACAGAGCTCCAGCTGCCCACAGTGGTAACTTGCTTCATGACAAACTCTTCGTTGACTTCCTTCCCTGTCTCATTTCCCCTTTCCCTTACTGAGGTATCAAGGGATCCCTTCTAAAATCACTTGGTTTCACTTAAATCCTTGTCTCAGAGTCAGCTCCTGGGGCTACTCAAACTAAGACACTGTTCTTTGTTAGCAAGTAGGAAATGGGAATCAGCCAGGATGAAAGAGCCAGAAGGGCCATGACCACACCCCAGCTGGCCCCTTCATGCCAGGTTAGGGCTTTGGAACAGCCTAGAAAGAGGAAACTACCAAGCTTCCTTCACAGTTCCAGTTCTCCACAACAGGACTTGGCAAACTTTTTTTGTAAAGGGCCAGATACTAAATATTTTAGGCTTCGCAGGCCTTTTGATCTCTATTACAATTGCCCAGCTCTGCCACTGTGGCATGAAAGCAGTCATAAATTATATGTAAAAGAATGGATGTGACTGTGTTCCAATAATACTTTATTTGCAAAAAGGCAGCAGGCCAGATTTGGCCCACAGGCTGTTGTTTACTGACCCCTGCTCCAAGACAACAAAAAGAGACTGGGCAAGCATCTGCCCAGCATGGGTGCTGGCGGGGAGGCAATGCCAGTTGTGGCCTTAGACTCTGTGGGTTCAGGAGCAGGGCTCTCTGCCTAAGGGTCCCGTGGCTGTGCAACCAGTTCGGGAAATACTCCTACATCTCAGTTGACAGTGGAGCACTCAATGAATAGCTCAGCTTTTAAGCTCAAAACAAGCTTTCGACTTCACTTTTATGCTAATAGGTCATGTTTTTCTAATGGATAGATACAGCTCCACCAGAAAAAAATAATTAAGCCCCCAAAAAGAAAAAGTAAGTTAATATTTTGAAAGACATATAAAATGGTGAATTCAACCGATATTTCAAATAAGATGAGGGATATAAAACTTGATTACCAATAACTTATGGAGCAAAAAATGAAGTCTTCTGGTGGAAACTGAAGGCATAATATTGATAGATGACTGTGAGAAAGCTATTGAAGTACAGGACCAAGTTCACCAAGAGGGAATAGACCCAGAGATGGGTGAAGACTTCAGTAAGACAACTGTTCTAAATTATGCAGGAGCTGGGCATGGTGGCTCATGCCTGTAATTCAAGCTACTCAGGAGGCTGAGGAGGGAGGATTGCTTAAGGCCAGGAGTTTGAGACCAGCTTGGGCAACAGAGGGAGACCCTGTCTTTAAAAATAAATAAATAAATGACATAGGTCTCCTTACCTGATTATTTATGCCTAGTGTTCCATTATAAACAAGCATGTGGGACTTGTTTATATCTTACTTCTTAAGGTCATCGCCACGGTCTCATTGCAAAAATTCAAAAAATTGCAACCTCAGGCATAAATGGGCTAATTACATGGCAGAAAACTTGCAACTAATCCAACAAGACTGTAGCAAATACCCAATCCAAGCCCACTCTAGCCACCCTCTCCCACCGAAGGGGGGAGAAAAAAACTGAGAAGGTCGCGCACACTGGCTCACCCCTATAATCCTAGCACTTTGGGAGGCCAAGGTGGGAGGATTGCTTGAGCCCAGGAGTTCAAGACCAGCCTGAGCAACATAGTGAGACCCTGTCTCTATAAAAAATTTAAAAATTGGCCAGGCGCGGTAGCTCACGCCTGTAATCCCAGCACTTTGGGAGGCTGAGATGGGCTGATCATGAGGTCAGGAGATCGAGACCATCCTGGCCAACATGGTGAACCCCCTGTCTCTACTAAAATGCAAAAAATTAGCCTGAAGTCCCTGGGGAAGCTGAGGCAGGGGAATCGCTTGAACCCGGGAGCAGAGGTTGCAGTGAGCCGAGAGCGTGCCACTGCACTCCAGCCTGGTGACAAGTGAGACTCTGTCTCAAAAATAAATAAAAATTAAAAAATTAGCCAGGCATGGTGGCACACACCTGTAGTCCCTGCTACTCAGAGGCTGAGGCAAGAGGACTGCTTCAGCCCAGGAAGTCGAGGCTGCAGTGAGATGTGTTTGTGCCACTGCACTCCAGCTTGGGTGACAGAGCAAGAACTAGTCTAAAAAAAAAAAAAGAGAGAGAGAGAGAGAAACATCTGAAGTTCCCAGTCCAGAAAAACCAGCTCACTAAAAGACTGAGATGGAAACATAGGACTATAGAATACTTCCCCTCCTTATAAACCTTACCACCACAGGACTAAAGGCCCATTTACAGAAGCTCCTTTCACCTAGTGCATTATGTCTGGCTATTAAGAAAAAAATTACAGGCTGGGCGTGGTGGCTTACGCCTGTAATGCCAGCACTTTGGGAGGCTGAGGAGAGTGGATCACTTGAGGTCAGGAGTTTGAGACCAGCCTGGCCAACATGGCGAAACCTCGTCTCTACTAAAAATACAAAATTAGCCGGGCATCAGGGCGGGCACCTGTAATCCCAGCTACTCAGGAGGCTGAAGCACAAGAATCGCTTGAACTCAGGAGGCGGAGTTTGCAGTAAGCCGAGATTGCACCATTGCACTCCAGCCTGGGCAACAAGAGCGAAACATCATCACAAAAAAAAAAAAAAAAAAAAAAAAAGAGAAAAGAAAAGAAAAAAGAAATGCTTACTTAGATATAACACCGAAAGCATAAGCAAGCAAAGAGAAAAGGAGAAATTGGCCATCATCAAAATTTAAAACTTTTGGAACTTAAAAAACACCATCAAAAATGTGAAAAGTCAAGGGGGCATGGTGGCTCATGCCTATAATTCCAGCAATTTGGGAGGCCGAGGCAGGTGGATCACTTGAGGTCAGGAGTTTGAGACCAGCCTGGCCGATAAAGTGAAACCCCGTCTGTACCAAAAATACAAAAATTAGCTGGGTGTGATGGCACATGCCTATAATCCCACTACTCGAGAAGCTGAGGCACGAGAATCAGTTGAACTGGGAAGGCGGAGGTTGCAGTGAGCCAAGATTGTGCCACTGCACTTCAGCCTGGGCGACAGAACAAGACTCTGACTCAAACAAACAAACAAACAAACAAAGGTGAAAAATCAATCCATAAAATGGGAGAAAATAGTTGCAAATTATATATGTCTGATAAAGACTATTTCCAGAATATATAAAGAATTCTTACAACCTAACAATAAAAAAAAAATGGTTGGGCACAGTGGTTCACTCCTGTAATCCCAGCTCTTTGGGAGGCCAAGGCAGGAGGATCTCTTGACTCAAGGAGTTCAAGACCGGCATGGGCAACATAGTGTGACCCTATCTCTCTCTCTCTCAAAAAAAAAACCCCAAAACCAAAAAACAACAACAAAAAAACAAACAACAACAAAAAAAACACCACCAACAACAAAAGAACCTCTAGAAATTAAGAAGTCAAAGACCACTAGTTTTATAGAAAAATGCAGGGCGGGCACAGTAGCTCACACCTGTCATCCCAGCACTTTGGGAGGCTGAGGCAGGCGGATCACTTGAGGTCAGGAGTTCGAGACCAGCCCAGCCAACATTGCAAAACCCCATCTCTACTAAAAATACAAAAATTAGCTGGGCATAGTGACCTGTAGTCCCAGCTACTCAGGAGGCTGAGGCAGGAGAATCGCTTGGACCCAGGCAGCAGAGGTTGCAATGAGCCAAGATCATTCCACTGCACTCCAGTGGGCAACGGAGGGAGACACCATCTCAAAAAAAAAAAAAGTTTGCATTTCTCTTGTTATGAGTGAAGCTAAACATTTTTTCACAGGTTTAAGGGTAATTTGCGTTGCTTTTTCTAAAAACTATGTGCATGCTTTTTCTTTTTTTTTTTTCTTTTTCTTTTTTTTTTTTGTTGAGGTGGAGTCTTGCTCCATCGCCCAGGCTGGAATGCAATGGAGTGATCTTGGCTCACTGCAACCTCTGCTGCCTGGGTTCAAGCGATTTTCATGCCTCAGCTTCCTGAGTAGCTGGGGCTACAGTCACGTGGCACTGTGCCAGGCCAATTTTTGTATTTTTAGTAGAGACCAGTTTCATCACGTTGGCCAGCCTGGTCTCGAACTCCTGACCTGAAGTGATCTGCCCGCCTTGGCCTCCCAAAGTGCTGGGATTACAGGCATCAGCCGATAAATGCAAATCTAACCCACACTGAAATTAAGTTTCTCACCTATCAGATTGGCAAAAATTCAAAAGGCTGACAGCACACTTTGAGATTGTGGGAAAACAGGCCTCATACATAGCTGGTCTGGGTGCAAACTGGCACCTCCCCCATAGAAGGAAATTTGGCACTATCCACCAAAATGACAATGTACACAGACTTTAACCTTGCAGTCCCACTTCTAAAAATGCATCTGACAGATATTCCTGCATATGGACAAAATAATGTGTATTTACTGTAAGACTGGGTTTTTAAAAAATTTATTTACTTATTATAAGATTATTTACTGTATTACTATATTTACTACAATTTACTATAAGATAAAGTTTACTTATTGCTAAATTGTTTTTAATAGCAAAATACTGGAAACTTCCTAAACGTCCATCTGTTCTGTTTGGTTGAATAAACCATAGTTCATCTATATAGTAGATGAAAGTTTTTTGTGTTTTTTTTCTTTTTTTTTTTTGAGAAGGAGTCCCACTCTATCACCTAGGCTGGAGTGCAGTGGTGCAATCTGGGCTCACTGCAACCTCTGCCTCCCAGGTTCAGGTGATTCTCCTGCCTCAGCCTCCTGAATAGCTGGGATTACAGGCGCATGCCACCAGGCCAGGCTAATTTTTGTATTTTTAGTAGAGATGGGGTTTCACCATGTTGGTCAGGCTGGTCTCAAACTCCTGACCTCAGGTGATCTGCCTACCTCGGCCTCCCAAAGTGCTGGGATTACAGGTGTGAGCCACCACATCCGGCCCAGATGAAAGTACTTTTAAAGTAAAAAAGTAATAAAAGTTTTTTATATATCGATATAAAAATTTATTGGCTGAGCAGAGTGGTTCATGCCTGTAATCCCAGCACTTTGGGAGGCCAAGGCGGGCGGATCACTTGAGCCTAGGAGTTCAAGACCAGCCTGGGCAACATAGTGAGACCCTGCCTTTACAAAAACTACAAAAATCAGCTGGGCATGGTGGTGCACTCCCTGTAGTCCCAGCTACTTGAGAGGCTGAGGTGGGAGGATCATGCAAGCCTGGGAGGCAGTGATTGCAGTGAACCAAGATCATGCCACTGCACTCCACCCTGGCAATAGAGTGAAACCCTTATCCCCCCCAAAAATTTTTTTCTCAAGAAAATGTTGTTAAATGTAAAGGCAGGATGCAGAACAGTAAAAATAACATGCTACCTGTTTTTGTAAGAAAGACAGGGAAATAAGAATACATACTTACTTATATTTTCTTTTATTTGCATAAACAAACACTGGAGAAAACCAGGCCTGTAATCCCAGCACTTTGGGAGGCCAAGGTGGGTGGACTTTGCTTGAGTCTAGGACTTCGAGACCAGCCTGGGCAACATGGCAAAACCCAGTCTCTATAAAAACAAAACAAAACAAAACAAAACAAAACAAAACAAACAAAAATTGGAAAGATTCACAATAAAGTAGTTCTCTACCAAAGGCCAGTAGGGAGGTAATGGGCTGGATGGTGACTTGGGTGCAAGCAAGACTTCTAAGAATGAAAATTTTTATATTGAACCAGGTGAGTATATTGCCTATACAAAAATGTAAATTTAAAATACCAGCTGGGCACAATGGCTCATGCCTGTTCTCTCAGTGATGTGGGAAGTTGAGGCAGGAGAATGACTTGAGCCTGAGAGGCTGAGGCTGCAGTGAGCTATGATCATGCCACTGCATTCCAGCCTGGGCAACAGGGCGAGAGCTTGTCTCTAAAAATAAAAATAACAACCTGAAAAAAATCAATAATAATATCAAATATAGTGAGAATGCCATAAAATTATTACACACACACAAATACACACACATGTGCACACCCTGCCTCCATCCAAGCAAGTGTCTTTCATTGTCAGCATCAGAAATCATTCTTCAGTTGATTTTTTTCTTTAAATCTTCAGGAACTCTGCTGTGCACTACAAGGAAATGTAATGTCTGGGCAGTGATTAGTACAGTAACTCAGGAGGCTGGAGAAAATATCAGTGAAGATGGGTGAAATGGAGTATTGACTTTTAAGGCTGCCTTTTGTTGGGAGACAAGACCTTAATCTTCAACTATAGAAGCCGTAAGACCAGACACTTGCTTTTCCAGCTTTTTTGCACATAGAAAATGGGCATCTATAATACAGCCTTGACCAATCAACTGCATCCTGCCCAGATCTGAACTGGGATCTTGTATTGCAAAGAATCCTTTCTAGGATGATCAACCACAGCAAGGGCACCATCCACGTTGTAGGGCAGTGGAGATGTCCTGGAACAAATGTTAGGGAGTCCAGGGCTGACAGTGGGTCCAGCAGTGATGTCCCGGGTCCCCTGTTGACACCAAGTAGTTGCAGCACTGGCCCTATTTCCTATCACTGGTCTCATTTTATGGCATAATTTTTGCTGTACTCTGGCTGCATAGCTTCCCCTGGACCTATTTCCCAGGCCTGAGTTTCCAGTTTTTTTCGTATTCATTCTATACATTCCATTTCTTAAACCTGTTGGAGTTGGTTCCGGATGCTTTGCTTGCAACTAATAACCCTGGTTGATGCATCTGGATTGTGTCAGGGATTCTCCATCTGGAAATTCAAGCAAACAAAGGAACCCACAAACTATATGGAATCTCCAGACTGATACCACTGGTGGAAAAGAAAGAGAGAAGAGGATACAGGGCCAGGCGTGGTGGCTCACACCTGTAATCCCAGCACTTTGGGAGATCGAGGTGGTCAGATCACTTGAGGTCAGAAGTTCAAGTCCAGCCTGGCCAACATGGTGAAATCCCGTTTCTACAAAAACTACATAACTTAGCCGGGCGTGGTGGCACGCACCTGTAATCCCAGCTCCTTGGGAGGCTGAGGCAGGAGAATCACGTGAACCTGGGAGATGGAGGTTGCAGTGAGCCAAGATCGTGCCAATGCACTCCAGCCTGGGTGACAGAGACAGACTCCGTCTCAAAAAAAAAAAAAAAAAGAGAGAGAGAGAAAAGAGGATACAGCAGTTCCTTCAATCTTACAATAGACTGCTGCTGCTGCTGGTGTGTGTGTGTGTGTGTGTGTGTGTGTGTGTGTGTGAGAGAGAGAGAGAGAGAGAGAGAGAGAGAGACAAGGCGCAGTAGGGGTGGGAGTCAGACACGAGAACACCAGAGGCTTTTCTAAGAAGAGGCTGCTAGACCTGGGTCCTGGCTCAGGCTGCTATCTGAAGCTTGCTGGGAAGCTTTGACAGGTACAAGCCAGTGATGGTTTCAGCCAGTTGGTGACTGCAGGTTGAAATGTAAAGGTGGAAAAAGGATGGAGAATGTGTGAAAGTGATCTTTTTTTCACACAGTTACAATTTGAGATTTTTTTTGGTAACAATCATGAATTCCTATATTGCTTTCGAAATTTGAAAGAAATTCAAAAGACAGGAAAAAGGACTTCAGGGATGAAGGTGTGTGTGATTGCTCTTCTCGTGTGTATGACAAAAGACTGCTGCTGTCTGAGCGCGGTGGCTTACAACTGTAATCCCAAGCACTTTGGGAGACCAAGGTGGGTGGATCACCAGACCAACCTGGCCAACACAGAGAAACCCCATCTCCACCAAAAATACAAAAATTAGCCAGGCGTGGTGATGTGTGCCTGTAATCCCAGCTACTTGGGAGGCCGAGGCAGAAGAATCACTTGAACCCAGAAGACAAATGCTGCAGTGAGCGGAGATTGTGCCATTGCACTCCAGCCTGGGCAACAGAGCAAGACTCCGTCTCAAACAAAACAACAACAAAAAAAGTGAATTAAATATGTGTAGCTAATTTCACTCTTCCCAAATCCCCAAGAAAACTACAAAGAAAGGATTGATATCTTTTTTATTGTGATTAAATATACATAATATGAATTTTATTAATATCATTTAACCATTTTTTTTTTGAGATGGAGTCTTGCTCTGTCGCCCAGGCTGGAGTGCAGTGGTAAGATCTCAGATCACTGCAACCTCTGCCTCCTGGGTTCAAGCGATTCTTCTGCCTCAGCCTCCCGAGTAGTTGGGACTACAGGCCCATGCCATCACACCCGGCTAATTTTTTTTTTATTATACTTTAAGTTTTAGGGTACATGTTCACAACGTGCAGGTTTGTTACATATGTATACACGTGCCATGTTGGTGTGCTGCACCCATTAACTCGTCATTTAGCATTGGGTATATCTCCTAATGCACCAGGCTAATTTTTATTGGAGATTTTTAGTGGAGATGGGGTTTCTCCATGTTGGCCAGGCTGGTCTCGAACTCCTGACCTCAGGTGATCCGCTTGCCTCAGCCTCCCACAGTGCTGGGATTACAGGTGTGAGCCACCATGTCTGGCCTTCATTTTAACCATTTTTAAGTGTACAGTTAAGTGGCATTAAGTACATTCACGATGTTGTTCAACCATCACCACTATCCATTTTCAGAATTTTTTCCTTATTCCAAAAACCCCTCACCCATTAAACAGTAACCCCACATTCCTTCCCTCTAACCCCTGGTAACCTCTATATGCTTGCTTTTTTTTTTTTTTTTTTTTTGAGATGGAGTTTCGCTCTTGTTGCCCAGGCTGGAGCTCAATGGCGCGATCTCGGCTCACTGCAACCTCCGGCTCCTGGGTTGAAGCGATTCTCCTGCCTCAGTCTCCCGAGTAGCTGGGATTACAGGCACCCGCCACGACTCCCAGCTAATTTTTGTATATTTAGTAGAGACGGGGTTTCACTGTGTTGACCAGGCTGGTCTTGAACTTCTGACCTCAGGTGATCCGCCCTCCTCGGCCTCCCAGAGTGCTGGGATTACAGGAGTGAACCACTGCGCCCGGCCTGCTTTCAATTATTTTGAGTTTCTACCCAGAAGTGACTTGCTGAATAATATGGTAATGCTATATTTAACTTTTTAAGAAACTCTCAGCTGGATGCAGTGGCTCATGCCTATAATTCTAGCACTTTGGGAGGCCGAGGCAGGCGGATCACCTTAGGTCGGGAGTTTGAGACCACCCTGACCAACATGGAGAAACCCTGTCTCTACTAAAAATACAAAATTAGCCAGGCGTGGTGGCACATGCCTATAATCCCAGCTACTTGGGAGGCTGAGGCAGGAGAATTGCTTGAACCCGGGAGGCGGAGGTTGCGGTGAGCTGAGATTGTGTCATTACACTCCAGCCTGGGCAACAAGAGCAAAACTTTATCTAAAAAAGAAAACTCATACTATTTTCCATAGCAGCTCATCTTTTTATATCCCCACCTGCTGTGAACCCTGAAAATCTGAGACAGGTCTCAGTTAATTTAGAAAGTTTATTTTGCCAAGGTTGAGGACGTGTGCCCATGACACACCTTCAGGAGATCCTGACGACATGTTCCCAAGGTGGTCAGAGCACAGTTTGGTTTTATACATTCTAGGGAGTCATGAGGCATCAATCAGTATAGGCGAGATGAACATTGGTTCGGTCTGGAAAGGCGGGACAACTGGAAGTAAAGGTGGGACAACTGGAAGTAAAGGTGGGACAACTGGAATCAAAAGTGGGAAAACCAAAGCCAAAGCCAGGAAGCGTGGTTCCAGGTTATAGGTAGATAAGAGACAAATGGGCCGGGCGTGGTGGCTCAAGCCTGTAATCCCAGTACTTTGGGAGGCCTAGGCAGGTGGATCACCTGAGGTCAGGAGCTCGCGACCAGCCTGGCCAACATGGTGAAACCCCGTCTCTACTCCAAATACAAAAAATTAGCCAGGCATGGTGGCGGGCACCTGTAATTCCAGCTACTTGGGAGGCTAAGGCAGGAGAATTGCTTGAACCCAAGAGATGGAGGTTGCAGTGAGCTGAGATCACACCATTGTACTCCAGCCTGGCAACAAGAGCAAAACTCTGTCCCCCCTCCCCCCAAAAAAGAGAGACAAATGGTTGCATTCTTTTGAGTATCTGATTAGTCTCAAGTAGACAGTCAGATATGCATTTATCTCAGTGAGCAGAGGGATGACTTTGAATAGAATGGGAGGCAGGTAGGCCCTAAGCAGTTTCCAGTTTGACTTTTCCCTTTAGCTTAGAGATTTAGGGGCCCCAGGATTTATTTTCCTTTCACACTGCAATGTATGAGAGTTCTAATTTCTCTATTATCTTCACCAACACTTTGTAAAAATAATAACTGTCCTAATGGGGATGAAGAGGTGCAGTGGTTAATGCCTGGAATCTCAGCACTTTGGGAGGCAGAGGTGGGTGGATCACCTGAGGTCAGGAGTTTGAGACCAGCCTGGCCAACATGGTGAAACCTTGTCTCTACTAAAAATACAAAAAATTAGATGGGTGTGGTGGCGGGTGCCTGTAATCCCAGTTACTTGGGAGGCTGAGGCAGGAGAATTGCTTGAACCTGGGAGGTGGAGGTTGCAGTGAGCCAAGGTCACGCCATTGCACTCCAGCCTGGGCAACAAGAGCGAGACTCTTGTCTCAAAAAAAAAAAAAAAAGAAAGAAAGAAAAAGAGGAGGTATCTTATTGTGGTATCATTTTAATGCATGAACCTCACAAAGCATGAGATGCACACCTAAGCCCATCTGACCCTGAGCTTTCCACTCCACATCCTGGCCCTTCCGAGGCCCAAGCACTTTTTTTTTTAAACAAAGCAAAATGTTTCCCCAGCATTGCAGGACTTAGCTTAGATACACAGTCTTTAGTATTGATGACATGTATCTCATTTTCAGGATTTGCCTAATTGCATCCTCTCCTTCCAGAAATGCAAAGTACTCCTGAATCATCTTTCAGCTCAGACCATGGTGTGGAAGAAATCCTTCGCTAGAAGGAGCCTGTGTGACCTGGTCCAGCAGCATTTCCCCCAGACTTGACATCACAGGCCCTTCAGCCATGGAAGTGGTAGGGGGAGAGTGAAACCACCACTGCAAAATTATAACTGAGACAGTGAAAGAGATCTGAACTAACCAACTCCATCTTGCTTCTAACCTCCAATCTGTCCCCCTTCTTTCCTGGGGGTATGCTGAACTAATTCTGGGGAGGAACTTAGTTTATAGTTTAGAGCAAAGATGATTAACAGCCTTTTCCCAAAACAAACTCCCTTCTTGCCTGGGGACTTGCCCTGCCATTGTCATGCAGCTGGAGGCTACTTGACTCTCCAAATTGCTCCTGGGAATAACATCACTATTGTGAAGCCTAAGATCAGTGCTTGAGATATTTTGCAGACCCTGCACTTGATGGATCAGCTGGCACCACCCAGATCTATAAAGTGGCTCATCTAAGGTCCCCACCCAGGAACAGCTTCAACTCCCTATTATTTCATCTCCAACCCAACCAATCAGCACTCCTGACTCACTGGCTGCCCTCCCCTCACCCACCAAATTGTCCTTAAAAACTCTGATCCTCCAATGCTCAGGGAGGCTGATTTGAGTAATAATAAAACTCCAGTCTCCTGCACAGCCCGCTCTGTGTGAATTACTTTTTCTCTATTGCAACTCCCCTGTCTTGATAAATTGGCTCTGTCTAGGCAGTGGGCAAAGTGAACCCATTGGGTGGTTACAAGAGTATCCTCTGTCTGAAGTGACCCAAGCTCCTTAAATGAGACATGCACAGCTGACAAGACAAATCCCAGAACAGAGCAGGCTGGTCAGTGCCAGGATTCCCCAAAGGGAAAGAGAAGGTAGTTGTCTTTGCTTCAATCCTGGCCCACACATCCATATTCTTAGAGGCCTCTGGAGGGATTTCTTTTTGAGCCATGTGGGAAACTTCAGGATTTAAGGGCCTCTGCCAGGTCAGCTCTACCCAAGCACTACACTGGGTGCAGGGTCTTCTCAGGAGCCAGCTCTCAGCACAGGACAGTTGAGGCCAAGGCCAAGCAGAAGTTGAAGGACAGGGCAATCCCTAAATGCAGCTCCCTGAGAGTTCCTGCTCACTCTGACACCAACAGGCACACGCATGACCAGACAAGCACTGCAGCCTGAAGACTAAACTCTGATTTTTTTTTTTATCTTGCCCAGATTCCTTTTTTTTTTTTTTTTTTTGAGACGGAGTCTTTCTCTGTCACCCAGGCTGGAGTGCAGTGGCGTGATCTCGGCTCACTGCAAGCTCCGCCTCCCGGGTTCACGCCATTCTCCTGCCTCAGCCTCCCGAGGAGCTGGGACTACAGGCGCCCGCCACCATGCCCGGCTAATTTTTTGTATTTTTAGTAGAGGCGGGGTTTCACTGTGTTAGCCAGGATGGTCTCGATCTCTTGACCTCATGATCCGCCCGCCTCTGCCTCCCAAAGTGCTGGGATTACAGGCGTGAGCCACCACGCCCGGCTGCCCAGATTCCTATCTAAGGGGCCTGGGGAGTCATGCCCTACAAATCATAAATTTTCATCAGATGGGTTTTATTTAACCCTATATATCATGATTTATTTTCTTTTTTCTTTTTTCTTTTTTTTTGAGACGGAGCCTTGCTCTGTCACCCAGGCTGGAGTGCAGTAGCACGATCTTGGCTCACTGCAGCCTCGACCTCCCAGGTTCAAGTGATTCTCCTGCGTCAGCCTCCCAAGCAGCTGGGATTACAGGCGCCCACCACCACTCCTGTCTAATTTTTGTATTTTTTTGTAGAGACAGGGTTTTACCACGTTGGCCAGGCTGGTCATGAACTTCTGAGCTCAGGTGATCCACCCACCTCGGCCTCCCAGAGTGCTGGGATTACAGGCCTGAAGCACCACACCGGGCCATGATTTACTTTCCAACCTGACTCTGGCATAATATTACAAGAAAAAGAAGAAAATCAAAATATTTTACCCCAAAACATGTTTACTTGCCATATTTTGAAATGGCCCTGCAAAGCCGTTATTTGTAGGGGAAAATTGCCTCTGTAAAGAATCTCTATTAACATAGCTAGACGTTCTTCTTCCAGACCCTCCTAATTCTAAAGACATTAACTGAGATCTGAATAGGAAACATTTGTCATCTATTGTCTCTAAGGGCAGTCACTATAAGACTTAAAAGAACTTTGGTCTCCACAACCTTTTACCTTAACCTGAACATTCCCTTTCCATCAATCCCAGAGGTCTTCAGACAAACTCAACCAATTGTCAACCAGAAAATGTTTAAATTCGGCCGGGCGTGGTGGCTCATGCCTGTAATTTCAGCACTTTGGGAGGTCAAGGTGGGTGGATCACTGGAGATCGGGAGTTCATGACCAGCCTAGCCAACATGGCGAAATCTAAAAATACAAAAATTAGCTGGGCATGGTAATCCCAGCTACTCGGGAAGCTGAGGTGGGAGAATCGCTTGAACCTGGAAAGCAGAGGTTGCAGTAAGCCCAGATCACGCCACTGCATTCCAGCCTGGGCAACAAAGTGAGACTCCGTCTCAAAAAAAAGAAAGAAAATGTTTAAATTCACCTATAGTTTGGAAACCCCCGCTTTGAGTTGTCCCACCTTTCTGGACCAAACCAATGTATTTCTTAAGTGTATTTGATTGATGGCTCATGCCTCTCTAAAATGTGTAAAAGCAAGCTGTGCTTTGACCACCTGGGGCACATGTTCCTAGGACCTCCTGAGGACTGTGTCACGGGCCATGGTTACTCATATTTGGCTCAGAATAAATCTCTTCAAATATTTTACAGTTTGATGCTTTTTGTCGACAATCCCTTCTCAGGGGTTCGTGGGGCCAGGCCCTGAGGAGATGCATGGCTTACTTCTGATGCTTTTTCCTGTCCAAGGACCTCCCCCAGAGATCCTGCAGACTTCCACTTTGGTCAGGACCCAGGAATGAGTCCTGCTCTTGTTTGAGGTTCAGAGGTGCTCAAGGCTCATACCCAGGTGCCTGGATCCCAGCCTCATCAGGTCACTAACTAGGGCCAGAAAACCCATGACAGAGAGAAATGCAGTTCATCCTTCTTCCACAAGGTTGAAAACAAAATACTCAGAAATCCCCAGGCCTGGACTCTCTCACAGGAAAATATCACCTCTGTGCAACAAGTCTAAAGTTCAGAAACCTGAATCCAAGGAAACTGTATGTCAGGCCTCTGAGCTCAAGCTAAGCCATCATATCCCCTGTGACCTGCACGTGTACATCCAGATGGCCTGAAGCAACTGAAGATCCACAAAAGAAGTGAAAATAGCCTTAACTGACGACATTCCACCATTGTGATTTGTTCTTGCCCAACCCCAACTGATATGATATATTCTCCCCGCCCTGCCCTTAAGAAGGTACTTTGTACACATATCCCAAACCTGTAAGAACTAATGATAATTCCACCACCCTTTGCTGACTCTCTTTTCGGACTCAGCCCGCCTGCACCCAGGTGAAATAAACAGCCTTGTTGCTCACACAAAGCCTGTTTGGTGGCCTCTTCACACAGACATGTGTGACATTTGGTGCCAAAGACCCAGGACAGGAGGACTCCTTCGGGAGAACGGTCCCCTGTCCTCGCCCTTACTCTGTGAGGAGATCCACCTATGACCTCGGGTCCTCAGACCAACCAGCCCAAGGAACATCTCACCAATTTCAAATCAGGTAAGCTGTCTTTTCACTCTTCTCCAGCCTCTCGCTACCCTTCAATCTTCCTCTCTCACTACCCTTCAATCTCCCTGTCATTCCAATTCCAGTTCTTTTTCCTCTCTAGTAGAGACAAAGGAGACACATTTTGTCCGCGGACCTACAACTCCGGCGCCAGTCACGGACTTGGGAAAACAGTCTTCCCTTGGTGTTTAATCACTGCGGGGATGCCGGATTATTCACCCACATTTCACTGGTGTCTGATCACTGCAGGGACGCCTGCCTTGGTCATTCACCCACATTCCCTTGGTGGCAAGTCAATTGCAGAGACTCCTGCTTTGGCTGCTCACCCACATTGCAGCCCAGGGCTACTCACCCACCCCCTTCGTGTCTCTACCTTTCTCTTTAAACTTACCTCCTTCACTATGGGCAAACTTCCGCCCTCCATTCCCCCATCTTCTCCCTTAGCCTCTGTTCTCAACAACTTAAACCCTCTTCAACTCGCACCTGACCTAAAACTTAAACGCCTTATTTTCTTCTGCAATACCACTTGGCCCCAATACAAACTCAACAGTAGTTCCAAGTGGCCAGAGAATGGCACTTTGGATTTGTCTGTCCTACAAGATCTAGATAATTTTTGTCGAAAAATGGGCAAATGGTCTGAGGTGCCTGACGTCCAGGCATTCTTTCACACATTGGTCCTTCCCTAGTCTCTGCTCCCAATGAGACTCGTCCCAAATCTTTCTTCTTTCTCTCCTGTCTGTTCCTTCAGTCTCCACCCCAAGCTCTGAGTCCTTTGAATCCTTCTTTTCTACAGACTCATCTGACCTTTCCCCTTCTCCCCAGGCTGCTCCTTGCCAGGCTGAGCCAGGTCCCAATTCTTCCTCAGCCTCTGCTCCCCAACCCTAGAATCTTTCTATCACCTCCCCTCCTCACACCCGGTCTGGCTTACAGTTTCGTTCCTCGACTAGCCCTTCCCCACCTACCCAACAATTTCCTCTTAAAGAGGTGGCTGGAGCTAAAGGCATAATCAAGGTTAATGCTCCTTTTTTCTTTATCTGACCTGTCCCAAATCAGTTAGCATTTAGGCTCTTTTCCATCAGATATAAAAACCCAGCCCAGTTCATGGCCCATTTGGCAACAACCACCCTTAGACATTTTATTGTCCTAGACCCCAGAAGAAGGCTGTCTTATTCTCAATATGCATTTTATTACCCAATCCGCTCCTGACATTAGAAAAAGCTCCAAAAATTAGATTCCGGCCCTCAAACCCCACAACAGGACCTAATTAACCTCGCTTTCAAGGTGTACAATAATAGAATAGAGGCAGCCAAGTAGCAACGTATTTCAGAGTTGCAATTCCTTGCCTCCACTGTGAGAGAAACCCCAGCCACATCTCCAGCACACAAGAACTTCAAAACGTCTGAACTGCAGTGGCCAGGCGTTCCTCCAGGACCATCTCCCCCAGGATATTGCTTCAAGTGCTAGAAATCTGGCCACTGGGCCAAGGAATGCCTGCAGCCTGGGATTGCTCCTAAGCCATGTCCCATCTGTGCGGGACCCCACTGGAAATTGGACTGTCGAACTCACCTGGCAGCCACTCCCAGAGCCCCTGGAACTCCGGCCCAAGGCTCTCTGACTGACTCCTTCCCAGATCTTCTCAGCTTAGCGGCTGAAGACTGACGCTGCCCGATCACCTCAGAAGCCTCCTGGACCATCACGGATGCTTTGGGTAACTCTTATAGTGGAGGGTAAGTCCATCCCCTTCTTAATCAATACGGAGGCTACCCACTCCACATTACCTTCTTTTCAAGGGCCTGTTTCCCTTGCCTCCATAACTGTTGTGGGTATTGATGGCCAGGCTTCTAAACCTCTTAAAACTCCCCAACTCTGGTGCCAATTTGGACAACATTCTTTTATGCACTTCTTTTTATTTATCCCCACCTGCCCAGCTCCCTTATTATGTCGAGACATTTTAACTAAATTATCTGCTTCTCTGACTATTCCTGGGCTACAGCCACACCTCATTGCCGCCTTTTCCCCCAGTTCAAAGCCTCCTTCACATCCTCTCCTTGTATCTCCCCACCTTAATCCACAAGTATAGGACACCTCTACTCCTTCCTTGGTGACGGATGATGTACCCCTTACCACCCCATTAAAACCTAATCACCCTCACCCCGCTCAATGCCAATATCCCATCCCACAGCATGCTTTAAAAGGATTAAAGCCTGTTATCACTTGCCTGTTACAGCATGGCCTTGTAAAGCCTACAAACTCTCCTTAAAATTCCCCCATTTTACCTGTCCAAAAACCAGACAGGTCTTACAAGTTAGTTCAGGATCTGTGCCTTATCAGCCAAATTATCTTGCCTATCCACCCTGTGGTGCCAAACCCATATACTCTCCTATCCTCAATACCTCCCTCCACAACCCATTCTGTTCTAGACAAACCTAGCTGACCCCATAAATCCTAAATCCTTTCCCCACTCCCCTTTCCATTCCCTAAAAAACAGCCCTAAAATCTGCTCCCACGCTAGCTCTCCCTAACTCATCCCAACCCTTTTCATTACACACAGCCAAAGTACAGGGCTCTGCGGTCAGAATTCTTATACAAGAGCGGGGACCACGCCCTGCAGCCTTTCTGTCCAAACAACTTGACCTTACTGTTTTAGCATAGCCCTCATGTCTGCAGGCGGTGGCTGCCACTGCTTTAATACTTTTAGAGGCCCTCAAAATCACAAGCTTTGCTCCACTTACTCTCTACAGTTCCCATAACTTTCAAAATCTATTTTCCTCCTCACACTTGACGCATATACTTTCTGCCCCCCAGCTCCTTCAGCTATACTCAGTCTTTGTTGAGTCTCCCACAATTACCATTGTTCCTGGCCCAGACTTTAATCCGGCCTCCCACATTATTCCAGATACCACACCTGACTCTCATAACTGTGTCTCTCTGATCCACCTGACATTCACTCCATTTCCCCATATTTCTTTCTTTCCTGTTCCTTACCCTGATCACACTTGGTTTATTGATGGCAGTTCCACCAGGACTAATCGCCGCTCACCAGCAAAGGCAGGCTATGCTATAGTATCTTCCACATCTATCATCAAGGCTACCGCTCTGCCCGCCTCCACTACCTCTCCGCAAGCCGAACTCATTGCCTTAACTTGGGCCCTCTCCTTGTATCTCGCAGTATTATAGTGACTCTAAATATGCCTCCCATATCCTGCACCACCATGCTGTTATATGGACAGAAAGAAATTTCCTCACTATGCAAGGGTCCTCCATCATTAATGCCTCTTTAATAAAAACTCTTCTCAAAGCTGCTTTACTTCCAAAGGAAGCTGGAGTCATTCACTGCAGGGGCCATCAAAAGGCATCAGATCCTATCGCTCAGGGCAGCACTTATGCTGATAAGTTAGCTAAAGAAGCAGCTAGCATTTCAACTTCTGTCCCTCATGGCCAGTTTTTCTCCTTCTCATTGATCACTCCTATTTACTCTCCTACTGAAGTTTCCACCTATCAATCTCTTCCCACACAAGGCAAATGGTTCTTGGACTAAGGAAAATATCTCCTTCCAGCCTCACAGGCCCATTCTATTCTGTCATCATTTCATAACCTCTTCCATGTAGGTTACAAGCTGTTAGCCCACCTCTTAAAACCTCTCATTTCCTTTCCATCGTGAATATCTATCCCCAATCCTCCACTCTTGACTCCCTCTTGGAGTGGATAGATGATCTTTGCTGACAGGACACACTCCAACACTTTCACCCAGATGAAGTCTTATTCTTTACTTTTATACTCACTCTTATTCTCATTCCCATTCTTATGCCACCCTCTACCTCTCCCCAGCTATCTCCACCACACTATCAATCTCACTCACTCTCTCCTAGCCATTTCTAATCCTTCTTTAAGAAACAATTGCTGGCTTTGCATTTCTCTTTCCTCCAAAATCGCCTAGGCCTCAATTTACTCATTGCTGAAAAAGGAGGACTCTGTATATTTTTAATGAAGAGTGTTGTTTTTACCTAAATCAATCTGGCCTGGTATATGACAACATAAAAAAACACAAGGATAGAGCCCAAAAACTAACCAACCAAGCAAATAATTATGCTGAGCCCCCTTAGATGTCCTGGGTCCTCCCAATTCTTAGTCCTTTAATACCGGTTTTTCTCCTTCTCTTATTCGGACTTCGTGTCTTCCTTTTAGTTTCTCAATTCATACAAAACCGCATCCAGGCCATCACCAATCATTCTATATGACAAATCCTCCTTCTAACAACCCCACAATACCACCCCTTACTCCAAAATCTTTCTTCAGTTTAATCTCTCCCACTGTAGGTTCCCACACCGCCCCTAATCCCACTCGAAGCAGCCCTGAGAAACATCGCCCATTATTTCTCCATACCACCCCCAAAAATTTTCACTGCCCCAACACTTCACCACTATTTTGTTTTGTTTTTCTTATTAATATATGAAGACAGGAATGTCAGGCCTCTGAGCCCACACTAAGCCATCATATCCCCTGTGGCCTGCAAGTATACATCCAGATGGCCTGAAGCAACTGAAGATCCACAAAAGAAGTGAAAATAGCCTTAACTGATGACATTCCACCATTGTGATTTGTTCCTGCCCCATCCTAACTGATATGATATATTCTCCCCACCCTTAAGAAGGTACTTTGTAATATTCTCCCCCACCCTTAAGGTACTTTGTAATATTCTCCCCACCACCGGCCCCTCCACCCCGCCCCCCCACCCCCCACCCTGAAGAAGATACTTTGTATGCCTATCCGGAACCTATCAGAACTAATGATAATCCCACCACCCTTTGCTGACTCTCTTTTTGGACTCAGCCCGCCTGCACCCAGGTGAAATAAACAGCCTTGTTGCTCACACAAAGCCTGTTTGGTGGTCTCTTCACATGGACGTGCATGACACTGTAGTTCAGGGCTGGGTTGCTGGGCAAAGGGGACTGAAACTCCAATTTTGCTTTTCTTTCTTTTTTTTTGTTTTTTGAGACAGGGTCTTCCTCTGTCGCCCAGGCTGGAGTGCAATGGTATGTGGTGTGATCAAAGCGCACTGCAACCTCTGCCTCCCAGGCTCGAGATCCTCTCACCTCAGCTTCCCAAGTATCAGGGACTACAGGTGCACCACTGTGCCCGGCCATGCATTTTTTGTAGAAGCAGGGTTTTGCCATGTTGCCTAGGCTGGTCTCCATGTCCTGGGCTCAAGTGATCCTCCAACCTCGGCCTGTCAAAGTGCTGGGATTACAGGCATGAGCCACTGCACGTAGCCAATTTTGCTTTTCAATTAGTCCTGGGATTTCAGGGTAGGGTGTTGTGATTAAAAAACTTTTAGGTGTTTGGGCTCTGGGTTCTGTAAAGTCAAATAATATTTTTGTTTGGGGTCCCCTTTGCTCTAATTTGGGCTTTTCCATTCAGTGTTGTCTGAGCCACTGCTGGAGTGCAGCAGTGGCTGTGCTGAGAGGAGGAATCACGCTGCAGTGGGGAGCTGGGGAGGGTGGGGGTGGGAGAGGCCAACCCTTAGAGCAGAGGCCAGATCCCTGACCATCTCACACCCTGAATCCCACTGCAGCCATTCTGGGAAAATAAGCCTCAAGAAGGACTAACTTTGTTGTATAAAAATGTCCTCCTGGGCACAGTGGCTCACGCCTGTAATCCCAGCACTTTGGGAGGCCGAGGCAGGCGGATCACCTGAGGCCAGGAGTTCGAGACCAGCCTGGTCCAACATAGTGAAACCCCATTTCTACTAAAAATACAAAAATTAGCCGGGCGTGGTGGTAGGTGCCTGTAATCCCAGCTACTTGGGAGGCTGAGGCAGGAGAATTGCTTGAACCTGGGAGTTGGAGGTTGCAGTGAGCTGAGATTGCGCCACTGCACTCCAGCCTGGGTGACAGAGTGACAGTCTGTCTCAAAAAAAAACAAAATGTCCATGGTAGGGCACAGTAGCTCAGGTTTATAATCCCAGCACTATGGGAGGCTGAGGTGGGCCCAGGGTCCCCATGCTGTGTGTAGCCTAGGAACTTGGTGCCCTATGTTCCAGCTGCTCCAGCCACCCAGCCATGGCTGAAAGGGGCTAATGTAGAGCTTGGGCCATGGCTTCAGAGGGTGCAAGCTCTAAGCCTTGGCAGCTTCCACATGGTACTGAGCCTGCCAGTGCATAGAAGTCAAGAACTGAGTTTGGGAACCTCCACCTAGATTTCAGAAGATGTATAGAAACACCTGGATGCCCAGGCAGAAGTTTGCTGCAGGGGCAGGGCTTTCGTGGACAGCCTCTGCTAGGACAGTGCAGAAGGGAAATGTGGGGTTCAAGACTGCACACAGAGTCCCTACTGGGGCACCACCTAGTGGAGCTGTGAGAAGAGGGCCACTGTCCTCCACACTCCAGAATGGTAGAGCAACCGACAGCTTGCACCATGTGCCTGGAAAATCTGCAGACACTCAATGCCAGCCCATGAAAGCAGCTGGGAGGGAGGCTATACCTCCAAAGCCACAGAGGTGGAGCTTCCAAAGACCATGGGAATCCCCCTCTTGCATCAGTATAACCTGGATGTGAGACATGGAGTCAAAGGAGATCATTTTGGAGCTGGATTTCAGACTTCCATGGGGTCTGTAGCCCCTTTGTTTTGACCAATTTCTCTCATTTGGAACAGCTGTATTTACCTAACGCCTGTACCCCCATTGTATCCAGGAAGCAACTAACTTGCTTTTGATTTTACAGGCTCACAGGTGGAAGGGACTTGCCTTGTCTCAGATAAGACGTTGGACTGTGGACTTTTGAGTTAATGCTGAAATGAGTTAAGACTTTGGGGGACTGTTGGGAAGCCATGATTGGTTTTGAAATGTGAGGACATGAGATTTGAGAGGGGCCAGCGGCTGAATAATATCGTTTGGCTGTGTCCCTACCCAAATCTCATTTTGAATTCCCATATGTTCAAATTCATACAGAACCCAGACTACAGTCCATATGTGGTGGGAGGGACCAGGTGGGAGGTAATTAATTGAATCATGGGAGCAGGTCTTTTCTATGCTGTTCTTATGATAGTGAATAAGTCTCATGAGATCTGCTAGTTTTAAAAATGGGAGTTTCCCTGCACAAGCTCTCTCTTTGCCTGCTGCCATCTGTGTAAGATGTAACTTGGTCCTCCTTGCCTTCCACCATGATTGTGAGGCCTCCTCAGCCATGTGGAACTGTAAATCCTTTAAACCTCTTTTTCTTCCCAGTCTCAGATATGTCTTTATCAGCAGCATGAAAACTGACTAATACAGATGGCTTGGGGCCAGGAGTTCCAGGCTGCAGTGAGCTATGGTTGCGCCACTGCTCTCCTGCCTGGGTAACAGAGGGAGACCCCAACTCAAAAAATAAATATATATAAATTTTTTTAAAAGTCCATGAGAACTTTTATTTTTCAGCCACTATGCCCGGCTGAAAACTTTTTTTATAAAAGAAAAAAAAATCGGTGGTGGGGGAGAGCAGAATAAATGTACAGTGAGGGAATAACTGATAAATTATAGTATATCTTCTCAATGGATATTACTCAGTGATTAAAGATTCATAATTATGAAGTCTTTGTGGTGTCTTTGTTGAAAAACACAAGTGGAGTAAGTAGTCTATAACTATATAATAATATGAAGTTACAAGAGCAAAGAACAGAAAGCACACTTGCAAAAAAGGAGCTGTTGATGGTGTGGGATTACAAGAGATTTTCTTTTTTAAAAACACCATTTATGTCCTTATATTGTATTTCCAATAAGAAAAGGGAAGGACAGAAGTGAAGCAGACACTTCCTTGAGGTTAGCTGATAGGTGACAACTAAATGTCAGTTCCCATTTTTGTCAGGCAGCATGGCTCACTGCGGTTTTGAAATTTATTCTGAATCCTCTGCTGGCACTTTTTACATGGTTACATCCTCAGATGGGTTCCAAGAAAAGGGTGATTAGGAACGTGGCATCCAGGCCAGGTGTGGTGGCTCACACCTGTAATCCCAGCACTTTGGGAGGCCAAGGCTGGTGGATCACTTGCGGTCAGGAGTTCGAGACCAGGAGGCTGAGGCAGGAGAATCTCTTGAACCCGGTTTCAGTGAGCTGAGATCGCACCACTGTACTCCAGCCTGGGCAACACGGGGAGAGTCCGTCTCAAAAAAAAAAAAAAAAGAAAGAAAGAAAGAAAAAAAGAAAAGAAACGTGGCATCCAAATTCCAGGAGGCCTAGACAAACCTGTCCAATTTGCCTGGAAACCATTACTTGGGTTTGTAACAGTTGATTTCATGGGAATATCTAGAATTCCCATATTTTCCCATGTATTTACCATTGGATGCTGCTCTACGCTGTGGTGTGCCTCCCAAACAGCATACGTTTGCCTTTCCTCCTTCCTGGGGGCAAATTATAAATGTTAACCAAAGTGTTTTGTGTTAAGACACACTTGTGTGCATTTTTTTTTTTTTTCTGAGACAGAGTCTTGCTCTGTTGCCCAGGCTGGAGTGCAATGGCATGATATCTGCTCATTGCAACCTCTGCCTCCCGGGCTCAAACAATTCTCTTGCCTCAGCCTCCCAAGTAGCTGAGATTACAGGCGCACACCACCACGCCCAGCTAATTTTTGTATTTTTGGTAGAGATGGGGTTTCCCCTTGTTGGCCACGCTAGTCTCGGACTCGACCTCAGGTAATCTGCCTGCCTTAGCCTCCCAAAGTGCTAGGATTACAGGCGTGAGCCACCGCTCCCGGCTGACTTGTGTGCATTATTATGCAAAGTAAAGCCCAGCACCTTTTCTACACCGTTACTTGCTCTCTTTATTAAGTAAACATTTGAGCAGGGAGTTGGAGTGTCTTCTCTGGGCCAGGCTGGTTTTATACCTTTTTTCATGTAATCTCTGTGTTGGGTATCTTCTGTCTGCCCCTCCAGATTGGCTCTCCACTCAACCCCTAGAAGCTGAGCCTTTGAGACAGCATCAGCAAGCTCCTTCCTCCTCTGGCTTCCCCTGGCACCAGCAGGAGGTGACAGGCCGCAGGTGAGTGCACGCTCCCTGGTTCCCTCTGCAGAGCCTCCACTGACTGGCTGTGGGCAGCACTGAAGGTCCCATTTCCATACAGGTGTGCCCTGCACACAGTCTCTCTGTCTCCGGGTTCTGAAAACCACTCCCCTCGCTGGCCCCTTTATGCCCAGGGGAGGCAACGGCCCTATTGTTCCTAGTCCCAGAGTACTGCACTATCCCTCATGGTTATTCTACACCTTACCCTCACCTTTGTAAATAGTGTTTTTATTAAACTGTCCTCAAATTACCCAATCGAGGGTGTCATCTGTTTTCTGCAGAACCCTGACTGATAGAATCCTTAAAGAGATAGGGAGTAACTCATCCAAGTTTGAGTGTTAGTAGGTGGCATAACCAGGCTTGGAAACAGGTCTGTCTGCATTCAAAGCTTGTGCTTCTTTTGCCAGATCAGATTGCACTGCCCAAGAAGGAGCCGGCTTGAAGAGCAAGCAAGTTGGGCACCTGAGATGAGATCCAGCACTAGGCGTAGAAAATGAACTCTGCTTGTGCCCCATGCCCTAGACCATGGCATGGCCAGGGTCTGTCCCCATGTCTGTGTTTCCTAAAGTTGGTGTGCACCCTCCTCATTATTCAGCTGTCATTGCATTTGCCTGGGAAGACTTCACTTGCAGAGCCCAGAGCAGCCAGCTTAATAGCTCCTGTGGTGGTTTTTAAAATATGTCCACATGTCCTTGGAGATGCTTTACATCAATTAGTGGAGTCTAAGGCCAGGCGCTGTGGCTCACATCTGAAATCCCAGCACTTTGGGAGGCTGAGGTGGGCGGATCACCTGAGGTTAGGAGTTCGAGACCAACCTGGCCAACATGGTAAAACCCTGTCTCTACTAAAAATACAAAAATTAGCCAGGTGTGGTGGTGGGTGCCTGTAATCCCAGCTACTCGGGTGGCCAAGGCAGGAGAATTGCTTGAACCTGGGAGGCAGAGGTTGCAGTGAGCTCAGATCGTGCCATTGCATTCCAGCCTGGGTGACAAGAGTGAAACTCCATCTCAAAAAAAAGAAAAAGAAAAAAAGAATGGAGTCCAATTTCCCTTCCCTTGAATATGGGCTGCTTCTAGTAATTAGCTTTTAATAAATGGGATACAGAGGAACTGACGCAACATGACTTCTGAGGCCAGGTTATAAGAGCAGATCAGCTGCCACCCAGGCTTTCTCTCCTTGGGACACTCATACATAGATCCAGGTGCTGTGATGCAAGGAAACCTAGGCCACACAGAGAGAGGCATATATAGGTGATCTAGCTGAAACCCCAGCTGTGAGGAAGCCTGCAGGCCCCAACCGTGGCTTGACTACAACTGCCTGAAAGATCCCAGCAAGAATTGCCTCGCTGAGTCCAGTCAACTGCAGGAACAGAGTGAGGTAATAAAATGACTGCTGTTGCTTTAAGTCACTATATTTTGGGATAATGTATGCGGAGCAATAAAAAATTGATAAACTCTCTTTTTCAGAGGACTGGTGGAGCCACCAATATTGATTCTCTTTGGGGTGTCCAATGCCTCCTGTGAGACTGCTATTCTTTAATCCTCTTAAAAATCTCCAAATCACCAATCGATAGCCCCACCATGACCTTGCCCTGGATTTTGTTATTCGACACTTGAAAAGTTGACAACTTCTTGGAATTAAATGTATCTGAATTTAAAAAAATGTTCTAGAACATACTTTTGTCACCTCATAATATATTGTTGACAACTTTCCAAGTGAATGCATAGATATCCTGTTATTAAAACAGCTCCCACTGGGTGCGGTGGCTCACACCTGTAATCCCAGCATTTGGGAAGCCGTGGTGGGTGGATGACTTGAGGTCAGGAATTCAAGACCAGTCTGGCCAACATGGTGAAACCCTGTCTCTACTAAAAATACAAAACTTAGCTGGGCATGGTGGCATGAGCCTGTAATCCCAGCTACTCGGGAGACTGAGGCAAGAGAATCACTTGAACCTGGGAGGCGGAGGTTGCAATGAGCCGAGATCGTGCCACTGCACTCCAGCCTGGGTGACAGAGTGAGATTCTGTCTCAAAAACAAAACCTAAATAAATAAATAAATAAAACAGCTCCCGTTTTTAAGGGATTTCCCAAGCCAAATATGCCACCAGATAACACGCACTTACTACTGGAGATTTTGTTAATTTATTCACTTTTACATTTATCCTTTCACTCACTCATTCAAAAAACCACGATGGGCTGGGTGCAGTGGCTCACGCCTGTAATCTTAGCACTTTGGGAGGGCAAGGTGGGAGGATAGCCTGAGCCCAGGAGTTTGAGACCATCCTGGGCAATATGGCGAGATCTTGTCTCTAAAGAAAACAAACAAACAAACAAACAAAAACCATGATGTATTCACTACATACCTAGTGGTCATTCTTGAGAATATAAAAAGATTCTTAGAATTCTAAGTCTTATTTATTTATTTATTTATTTATTTATTTTTTGAGCTGGAGCCTTGCTCTGTCACCCAGGCTGGAGTGCAGTGGCGTGATCTCGGCTCACTGTAACCTCCACCTCCAGGGTTCAAGAGATTCTTCTGCCTCAGCCTCCTGAGTAACTGGGACTACAGGCATGCACCACCACGCCCAGCTAATTTTTGTATTTTTAGTGGAGACGGTTTTACCATATTGGCCAGGCTGGTCTCGAACTCCTGACCTCATGATCTGCCTGCCTTGGCCTCCCAAACTGCTGGGATTACAGATGTGAGCCACTGTGCCCAGCCTCTAAGTCTAATTTTATAGAGACCATTTTTGCTTAAGTTAAGCAGAATCAGTTTTTAATTTTGTAACCAAGAATCCTACACAGAAAAGCAATTCATACGGAGGTATGAGGTATAAGCAATAGACTCAGGGGAATGGAGAAGACATGCGACTGGTTTTCTACCCTAGATAGGGTTGAAGATTACTGTGGTAGGTTGCCCTTAAGATGGCTCACCATAAATTAGCCGGGTGTGGTGGTGCATGCCTGTAATCCCAGTTACTTGGGATGCTGAGGCAGGAGAATTACTTGAACCCGGGAGGCAGAGGAGCCGAGATCATGCCACTGCACTCCAGCTTGGGCAACAGAGCAAGATTCTCTCTCAAAAAAAAAAAAAAGATGGCTCGCCAAGATTCCTGCCTCCTGGTGTTCACCCATGTAATCCAGACCCAATGATTTGCTTCTAACAAAAAGAATATGGCAGAAGTGATGGGATATGACTTTCATGATTAGGTTATCAAAGACTGTGACTTCTGTCTTTCTCTACGCTTTCTGTGTCTGCATGCATTGATGAAGCTAGCTGACATGCTGGACAGCTCCAGATGGCAAGAAATTGAGGTTGATCCCTGCCAACAGTTTGTAAGAAACTGAATCCCGTCAACAAGCAGGTGAGTGAGCTTGAACATAGATCCATCCCCAGTCTTCAGATGAGAACGCAGCCTCAATTGACACCTTGACTGCCACCTTGTGAGAGCTGGCACAGAGGACACAAACTGTGCCCAGATTCCTGACCCACCAACACTGTGAGATCGCAAGTGTGTGTTGTTTTAAGTCTCTAAACTGTGGGGTAATGTATTACGCATCAAGAGATAACTAATACAATAATCATTTAGGGATGGGAACTTGTAAGTTAGGGCACGAGGTGATGAAAGAAGCGATGCAACTGTTGTTTAGGGTTGCCTTTAATGAAGTACTCACTGAGGCAAGGCTCTGAGGGATCCAGGGGCTGCCACCCAAAACAGCATACAGGAAATGAGTAATTCAAGGACTATGGGTGTCACCATTGATTTGAACTCTGCTGGGCAATTTAAGGAAAGAGGTTGATAAGCAATCCTTCCCTTCTTTTATCTTCTTTGTTTCCCGAAAAGTTTAATCCTAAGGGCATTAGGTAAGACATAGCAAGAAAGGCATTTGTGCCCGGAGAGGAGGGAGCTATGGAGGCACGGAGCGGGATGCTGGAGGCTTGTGGGGTAAGGAAGGCATTACGATAGGAGGGCTGCATGGCCTTCAGAGTCAGGACTTGAGCTGGATGAGGAGGGTGTTTACATAGGAGGGTGATCTAGCATGAGAAGGATGAGAAGGGCATCGCTGCAGAGGAGTAGCTTGGTGAGAGTATGAGAGCCTGTCTTAGTCTGTTTTGCACTGCTGTAACAGAATATCTGAAACTGGATAATTTATAAAAAACAGAAATTTTTTTCTCACAGTTCTAGAGGGTGGGAAGCCCAAGATCAAGGTACTGGCATTGTGCAAAGGGCCTTCTTGCTGTGTCTTCACATGGTGGAAGGTGGAAGGGTAAGAGGGAAGGAACCCCCATCCCAAGTCCTTTTACAGAGGCATTAATCCACTCATAAGGGTGGAGCCCCCATGATCTGAACACCTCCAAGAAGGCCTCACCTCTTAACACTGTTGCACTAGAGATTAAGTTTCTGACACACGAATCCTGGGGGAACATTCAGACCATAACAGATTCTGAGCAGGGTAATGAAAGTGTATTAGTTATTTCTTACTGCATAAGAAATTATACTAGGCCAGGCACGGTGGCTCATGCCTGTAATCCCAGCACTTTGGGAGGCCAAGGTGGGCAGATCACAAGGTCAGGAGTTCGAGACCAGCCTGGCCATCATTGTGAAACCCTGTCTCTACTAAAAATACAAAAAATTTAGCTGGGCCTGGTGGTGCTCACCTATAACCCCAGCTACTCGGGAGGCTGAGATAGGAGAATCACTTGCCCTGGGAGGTGGAGGTTGCAGTGAGCGGAGATTGCACTACTGCACTCCAGCCTGGGCAACAGAGCGAGACTCTGTTTCAATTAAAAAAAAAAAAAGAAAGAAATTACACCAAAACTTAGAAGGTCAAAATGGCAATAATCTTTCACTGTCTCACAGTTCCTGTGGGTCAAGAATTCAGAGAGGGCACAGCAGGAATGTTTGTCTCTGTTCTGCAGTGTCTGGGGTCCTGGCTGGCAGATTAAATGATTGAAGGCTGAAATTCTCTTAAGTCTTGACTGAGAGGCTGGAGGATCTTCTTCCAAGGTGGTTTATTTCATACATACCTGTAAAGTTGCTGCTAGCAAGTCAGTTTCTTTCCACATGCGGTCTTTCTACATGTGGCCCCCTCCACAGGACTGTTGAGTATCCTCACAACATGGCAACTAGTTTCTTCTAGAGTGAGCATGTCTAGAGAGTGAGACAAAAGAAGTTATCCGTTTTACAATCTAGCCTAGAGGGTCATATAGTATCATTTCCATCATATTGTATTCATTAAAAGTCAGTTGCTAAATCCAGCCCACAATGAATGGGAGGGGAAGTAGGCTGCACCTTTTGAAGAGTGATGTATCAAATAATTTTAAGACTGCTATGGAGAGCATTCATGTGGAGAGGCAGGCTGGTATGTGGTCTCAAAGCCTGAGCAGAGTAAGGAGGACATACACAGAGCTGGGAAACCGGGCATAGATGTTCAGAGCCCGAGCAGGATAAAGAAGGCATCCATGTGGGAGAGACAGGCTGGCTTGAGGAGTTGAAGCCCAAGTGTGTCTGAGGAGGGTGTCTGTGCTTATATGGGGGTGGCAGCAGTATTGGAAGATGGGTGACATACAGGAGAATGATCATACAAATAAATGCATTAAGAATAATTAGGGCCAGGCACAGTGGCTCATGCCTGTAATGTCAGCACTTTGGGAGGCCGAGGCAGGCGGATCACCTGAGGTCAAGAGTTCGAGACCAGTCTGACCAACATGGAGAAACCCCATCTCTACTAAAAAGACAAAATTAGCCGGGCATGGTGGGGCATGCCTGTAATCCCAGCTACTCCGGAGGCTGAGGCAGGAGAATTGCTTGAACCTGGGAGGCAGCATTGCAGTGAGCCAAGATCACGTAATTACACTCCAGCCTGGGCAACAAGAGTGAAACTCTGTCTCAACAACGGCAACAACAACAAAAAGAATAATTGGACCAGGTGTGGTGGCTCACGCCTGCAATCCCAGAACTTTGGGAGGCCAAGGTGTTTAAGGACCAGGAGTTTAAGGCCAGGAGTTTAAGACCAGCCTGGCCAACATGGCAAAACCTTGTCTCTACTAAAAACACAAAAATTAGCCAGGCATGATGGTGCATGCCTGTAATCTACTCAGGTGGCTGAGGCAAGAGAATCACTTGAACCCAGGAGGTGGAGGCTGCAGTGAGCTGAGATTGTGCCACTGTACTCCAGCCTAGGTGACAGAGCAAGACTCTGTCTCAAAAATAAATAAATAAAAATAAATAGATAAATAAATAAGTACATTAGAACCCAGACCAATTAAATCAAAATTTTTGGGGATAGGATCCAGTGTTTTTTAAGCCTTCCAGGTGACTCCAATGTGCAGCTGAAATTGAGAACCACAGTTCTAGTAGTAGGTCTGGATTCAGCACTGGGTGGGGATGTACAGAATTCAACTCCTCTGGCAGGTCATTCCTCTAGTGAGGTCTCTAAGAACTCTTCAGGCAAGGTGACTCCTCAGACAACCAAGGCTCAGTGCAGTACTGTAAGCCTCAGTGCACTTTTGAGAATCCTTCTATTTACTCATCATTGCCTTTACTTCAACCTAAGGAACTTGGTGAGGCTATGAATTCAACCGATACTGTCATTTATCAAACTATTGCTCAAATTTCAGGTCTAATTTTTGGCTACCTCAGCCCTGTAGCTATTCTTTTAACACAATCACAGAGAGTCACTGGACCATGCTTTAGATTGAGAATTTATAGCATATTCTTTGTCTTTCTTTTTTTTTTTTAGACTTGAAATAATCTCAGATTCCCCCCGCCTCCCAACCAAGAAGCATCTGAGAGTAAGTTGCTGTTGTGATTATCCCCTAATACTTTAGTGCAACCTTTCTCAACCAGGGTTCCTCATGTGAATGACAGAATGAAAATGATTTGAATTAAAAAAAAAAAAATCACCTCACCAGGAACTGAATTAGCCAGAACCTTGATCTTGGACTTCCCAGCCTCCAGAACTCTGAGAGTTAAATTTCTGTTGTTTAAGCCACCCAATCTATCATATTTTGTTTTAGCAGCCCAAGTTGATTAACACAAGGCCTCCTAAGGAAAGGCTTGGAGGAAATGCTACACTGTATACTCAGAAAGTTATTGTAGGCTCTTTCCTTCAGGGTGCATTTATTCAAGGGGCTCTGGACCTGAGAGCTGACTCGGGCTTGGAAATTGGGACAAAAACTGTTTCTTTTTATCATGATGGCTTGAGTCAAGCCTCTGTTTGCCAGACTTCGAGTTTTTCAGTTATACCTGAACCTGTAGAAACATGATGGGCTGTACATCTCTCTCTTCCTGACTTGTTGATGGCTGCTTTCTTGCTACACCCTCACATGGCCGAGGTGCATGTATGTGAAGAGAGAGATCTCCTTCTCTTCCTCTTCTTATAAGGCCAATAATCCCATCATGACAGCCCCATCCTTATGACCTAAACTAACCCTAATTACTTTCCAAAGACCACATCTCTAAATACTATCATATTGGGGGTTTGGGTTTCAACATATGAATTTTGGGGAGAACACATTCAGTTTATAGTATTATGCCCCTGGCACCCTAAAAGTGCACTGAGGTTTACCGTAGCTCAAACTGTATTTTTCATTCATTCATCCCATCCCACCAGTCCCAAAAGTCTTAATTTAGTCCAGCACCAGCTCTAAAGTCTAAAGTCCAAAGTTTCATCTAGACTAGTATGGGTGAGACTTGAGGTGTTCTTCATCCTAAGGCAAAATTCCTCTCCAGTGTTCAACCTGTGAAACCAGACAAATACAATGATGGGAAAGTCATAGGATAAACATTACAACTTCCAAAAGGAAGAAATAGGAGGCTAGGTGCAGTGGCTCACACCTGTAATCCCAGCACTTTGGGAGGCCGAGGCAGGTGGCTCACCTGAGGTCAGGAGTTCGAGACCAGCCTGGTCAACATGGTGAAACCCTGTCTCTACTGAAAATACAAAATTAGCTGGGCATGGTGGCACATGCCTGTAATCTCAGCTACCAGGGAGGCTGAGGCAGGAGAATTGCTTGAACCCAGGGGGTGGAGGTTGCAGTGAGCCGAGATTGTGCCACTGCACTCCAGCACAAGAGCGAAACTCTGTCTCAAAAAAAAAAAAAAAAAAAAGAAAGAAATAGGAAAGAAGGACAGGGTGATGCGACCTAAGCAAGTCCAAAACTTAGCAAGGTGTGTTCCATTTGATCTTAAGTCTGAGAATAATCCTCTTTGGTTTGATGCTGTGCTGTGTAGACCCACTGGGGTGCTGGTCCATCTTGAGGGCTCACTGGGACAGTGGTCTTGCCTCTGCAGCTCTGCCAGGCAGGGTGTGACCTCCAAGGCTCTGGGCAGCCTAGTCTGAAGGCTTTGCATGATGATTCCATCCCCAAGACTTTAAGTGGTGGCCATCTAGCCAGTTGAAATTGAGGCAGGTCTCTGAATCACCATTGGGGTTCTCAAGGTCATTTTTCCAACTTTTTGAAGAAAAACACACATTTTGCAGCCAAATAGCTCCATTGTCCTGTCTTACAGAATCTAAGAAGTCCCACAGTTTTTCTTCATTTCATCCCATATCTGTCCCTTTTTATTCAAACTGGCAAAGTTATAGTCTGGTCACACCCTTAGTGTTCCTTCAGAACAAGCTTTCTCATTTTTTGCAATACAAACAGGCTGAAGACCATCCAAATCTTCAAGTTCTGGTGTTTTTTGCTTAACAATTCCTTTTTCAAGTCATCTCTCTCTTCTTACACTTTACTGTAAGCAATGAGGAGGAACCAAGCCACTCCTTCAACACTTTGCTTAGAAATCTCCTCAGCTAAATATCCAGTTTTATCACCCACAAGTTCTGTCTTCCACAAAACACAGGAAAATTGAAATTCAGCCAAGTTCTTTGCCATTTTATTATGAGGATCATCATTCCTTCAGTTTCCAATAACACGTTCCTTATTTCTGCCTGTGACTTCAACAGGATTTCCCTTAATGCCCATATTTCTAATACTTACCTCAAAACTCTTGTAGCCTCTCCCCACTGTCGAGTTCCAAAGGTGCCTCCATATGTTTAGGTATTTGTTACAGCAACACCCCACTTCTTAGTACTGAAATCTGTATTAATGTGGGTTCCCCAAGTAAAAAGAACCATAAATAAATAAATATATATATATATATGGTGTGTGTATATATAACATATATGTGTATATATACATATATACATACATATACATATATACGTTTATATATATACATATATATACATTTGTGTGTACACACACATAGAGATTTATTTATTTTGAGACAAGATCTGGCTCTATCACCCAGTCTGGAGTGCAGTGGTGCAATCTCAGCTTACTACAACCTCTGCCTTCTGGGCTCAAGCCATCCTGCCACCCTCAGCCTCCCTAGTAGCTGGGACTACAGGCACAAACCACCATGCCCTGCTAATTTTTGTACTTTTTGTAGAGAGGAGGTTTCACTGTTTAGCTCAGGATGCTCATGAACTCAAGCGATCTGCCCATGTCAGCCTCCCAAAGTGCTGAGATTGCAGGCATGAGCTATCATGCCCAGCAAGAGATTTATTAAAAGGAATTTGCTCACATGAGTATAGAGGCTGAGAAGTCCCAAGACCTGTAGTCAGCAAGCTGGAGCCCGAGGAAAGTTGATGGTGTAAGTTCTAGTTCATGACTCAGTCCAAAGACAGGAGAAGACTGATGTCCCAGGTCACAGACAGTCAAGTAGAAACAGTAAAGTTTATGGATAAGTTCCACTCACATTGGAGAGGGCCATCTGCTTTACTAAGTCTACTGGTTCAAATACTAATCTCATCTGGAAACACTCTCACAGACATACCCAGAATAAAGTTTTTGTTTTGTTTTGTTTTGTTTTGTTTTTTTGAGATGGAGTCTTGCTCTGTTGCCCAGGTTGGAGTGCAGTGGCATGATCTCGGCTCACCACAACTTCTGCCTCCTGGGTTCAAGCGATTCTCCTGCCTCAGTCTCCCAAGTAGCTGGGACTACAGGTGTGCGTCACCATGCCCGGCTAATTTTTGTATTTTTAATAGAGATGGGGTTTCACTATGTTGGCCAGGCTCATCTCAAACTCCTGACCTCCTGATCCGCCTGTCTTGGTCTCCCAAAGTGCTGGGATTACAGGTGTGAGCCACCGTGCCAGGCCCCCAGAATAATGTTTAACTAAATATCTAGGCAACCCACGGCTTAGTCAAGTTGACACATATAATTAACCACTACAGGCCTACAAGCTTTTTCCAGATTAACTGTGCAGTGGAGGAAAAAAATAATTTTATCTGAGATTATGGGACACTATAATGAGCTCTAACTCTATTTTCTGGGGATCCAGAACACCTCTTTGATCCACTGGTAGAAATTGAGTTTATGGTGATCAGGTGACAAATGGTGTTTTAGCTTGATTCTGAGGCACTATAGGCTTTCCCTGTCCCAATGACATCAGGCCTGGAGATACGCCAGATATCAGAGACCAGAAAGGCCAATTGTGATATAATGTGTTACTGCCCTGTGGAAAAACCACACATCCATCCTCCATAGAGGGCAGACTTACTTTGGTCAATGCAATGTGAGCATCAGTGACATGTCACTTCTGAGCAGAAGGTTTAAGGCAGTGTGTGGTTTGCCATCTCTCTTTTTCCTCTGGCAACATCTAGATTGGGCCTACTGTCAGCCTGGGTACGCAAATAAAGATGGCCTGAAGCAGAGCTGAAGTTACTCCAAGATGGACATACAGTACGAGAAAGAAAAATTTTCATTGTAAGCTTCTGACATTTGGGTCATTTGTTACTTCAGTATAACTTAGCCTAAGCTGACTGATACATGCTCAAAACCATTCTGGAGTTATTCCCACTTTCCTGAATAGCCATATATAGCTATTGTGAGAATCACAATACCCCCTTAGTTCATGCAATGAAGACATCCAAGTGGAAACCCCTGGAGCTAATTATCTATGCCAAAATTGTAAATCAAAATCAATACTGAATTGCTGGGAGAATCACGAAGATTCATGGTGGTTATTTGTGTCACAACCCATTCTATTCATGTTTGATCATTGTCAATATAGGCTGGACACAGTGGCTCAAGCCTGTAATCCCAGCACTTTGGGAGGCCGCAGCGGGAGGATCACCTGAGGTCAGAAGTTCAAGACCAGCCTGGCCAACATGGTGAAACCCTGCCTCTACCAAAAATACAAAAATTAGCTGGACATGGTGGCACGTTCCTGTAGTCCCAGCTACTCGGGAGTCTGAGGCAGGATAATCACTTGAACACGGGAGATGCAGGTTGCAGTGAAATGAGATCATGCCATTGCACTGCAGCCTGGATGACAAGAGTGAAACTCCATATCAAAATAAATAAATAAATAATTGTCAATATATTTATGTCTCATTTCCCTAACTGTATTATTTTGTTCACTATTCCATATATATTTTGGAGTAGGAATCACGCATCAGGTGCTGTGCAGGGTCCTGAGGGTCACAGAAAGAATAAAGCCAGATTATCCCGCCCTTGAGTAACTCAATCTAGGTAGCACTTGCCTGGATGTGTATTGTATAGTGAGCTAGATGAATATTGTTTATATAGTGAGCAGTGTTTAAATAAAGTTAGAATTAGTTGGCAACATTTAAAAATCAGGAGACTTCACATGAAAAGCTAGATTAATCATTTCTTTTGAAATATGGAAAGATCTGGCAGTTCTGGGTCCTCTCTGTCCCACGGCTATTGTCAGCTGGAGGGGAGCATCTGTCATCCCTTTTGGCAGGGCCTGAGTTTGCCCAGTTCCCTGCAGGCCCCACCACCCCCTCCACCACAGAGAGAGAAGGCACACCTTGGCACAGGACCAGTTCCTGCCCTTCCAAACCACATGGGTGGCTTTGCCTTTACATGGTTGTTGCAAACAAAACAAACAGTCCTAACTGCCAGTCATTTAAAAAGGAATAGTATCCCTCGCCGGATTATTAGGGGGGCATGGTGGCAGGCGCCTGTAATGCCAGCTGCTCAGGAGGCTGAAGCATAAGAATCGCTTGAACCCAGGAGGCAGAGATTGCAGTGAGCCGAGATCGCACCACTGCACTCCAGCCTGGGCAACACAGTGAGACCCTGTCTGGAAAAAAAAAATAGGATAATATTCCTCTTTCTATGTCAGGAATACTGGATGCACTAACAGAGGTGGATGCTCTGAGGCTCTGAGGCTTCAGTCTGCAGGACCTCCCCTCAGCCCATCTTCTTGCCAGGTACTAGGTAGTTCATATTAAAACAGATGTAGCTTTTAGGCTAAGTGTGGTGGCTCATGCCTGTAATCCCAACATTTTGGGAGGCTGAGGTGAGTGGATTGCTTGAGTCCAGGAGTTTGATACCAGCCTGGGCAACATAGTGAGACCCCTGTCTCTACAGAAAACAGAAAAAAATAGCCAGCCAGCCTGGGCAACACAGTGAGACCCATCTCTACAAAAAAAAAATATAAAAATTAGCTGGGCATGGTGGTGCATGCCTGTAGTCCCTGCTACTTGGGAGGCTGAGGCAGGAGGATTGATTGAGCCCAGGTGGTGAAGGCTACAGTAAGCCATGATTGTGCAACTACACTCCAGCCTAGGTGACAGAGCAAGACTCCGTCTCAAAAATCAAACCCAAACAAACAGATGTAATTTTAAAAATAACAGACTTAATTAGCTGGGTGTGGTGGCACGTGCCTGTAGTCCCAGCTACTCGGGAGGTTGAGGCAAGAGAATCGCTTGAATCTGGGAGGCGGAGGTTGCAGTGAGCAGAGATTGTGCCACTGCACTCCAGCCTGGGTGACAGAGTGAGACTCTGTCTCTAAATAAATAAATAAATAAACCGACTTTATTTTTAGAACAGTTTTAGATTTACAGAAAAATTGGCCGAGCATGGTGACTCATGCCTGTAATCCCAGCACTCTGGGAGGCTGAGGCCGGCAGATTACTTGAGGTCAGGAGTTTGAGACCAGCCAGGCCAACATGGTAAAACCTCGTTTTTACTAAAAATACAAAAACTAGCCGGGCATGGTGGTGGGCGCCTGTAATCCCAGATACTCGGGAGGTGGAGGTTGCAGTGAGCTGGGAGCCGAGCTCACGCCACTGCACTCCAGGCTCGGGGACAGAGCGAAACTCCATCTAAAAAAAAAAAAAAAAGATTTGCAGAAAAATTGACAAAATAGTACAGAAAATTTCCATATACCTTACATCCAGTTTCCCCTATTATTAATATCTTACCTTAGTATGGTATACTTGTTAAAATTAATGAACAAATATGGATATAATATCACTAACTAAAGTCCATACTTTATTCAGCTTTTCTTGATTTTTACCTAATAGCCTTCTCATGTGGCAGGAGCCCATCCAGGATACCATATTACATTTACTTGTCACGTCCCCTTAAGCTGCTCTTAGCTGGGACAGTTTGTCTGACTTTCCTTATTTTAATGACTGTGACAATTTTTTTTTTGAGACAGGGTCTGGCTGTCACCCAGCCTGGTGTACAGTGGACTGATCTTGGCCCATTGCAACCTCCACCTCCCGGGCTCAAGCCATCCTCCCACCTCAGCCTCTTGAGTAGCTGGGACTACATGTGTGCACCACTACACTGGCTAATTTTTTTGTATTTTTTGTAGAGATGGGGTTTCACCATGTTCCCCACGCTGGTCTTGAACTTCTGAGCTCAAACTATCCACCTGCCTCAGCCTCCCACAGTGCTGGAATGACAGGTATGACCCCACTGCACCTGGCCGACCATGACAATTTTAAGGGGTACTTTAAGTTCAGTGTTTTTGTTGTTGTTGTTGTGTTGTGTTTTGTTTTTTTTCTTTTTTGAGACAGAGTCTTGCTCTGTCACCCAGGCTGGAGTGCAGTGGCGTGATCTCAGCTCACTACAACCTCCACCTCCCAGGTTCAAGTGATTCTCCTGTCTCAGCCTTCTGAGTAGCTGGGATTACAGGCGTCCACCACCATGCACAGCTAATTTTTTTGTATTTTTAGTAGAGACAGGGTTTCACCAGTTGGCCAGGCTGGTTTTGAACTCCTGACCTCAAGTGATCTGCCCACCTTGGCCTCCCAAAGTGCTAGGATTACAGGCGTGAGCCACTGCACCCGGCCAAGTTCAGTGTTTTGTAGTATATCTAATAGAATTTATTTGGTGTTTTTCTCATGGTTGAACTAAGGGTGTGGATTTTTAGGAGTAGAACCACAAGGTAAAGTCCCATTTTCTTCTTCTTTTTTTTTAGATGGAGTCTTGCTCTGTCGCCCAGGGTGGAGTACAGTGGCGTGATCTCGACTCACTGCAACTTCTGCCTCCCAGGTTCAAGCAATTCTTCCTGCCTCAACCTCCCGAGTAGCTGGGACTACAGGCATGCACCACCACACTCAGCTAACTTATGTATTTTTAGTAGACACGGGGTTTCACCATATTGGCCAGGCTGGTCTTGAACTCCTGACCTCGTGATCCACCAGCCTGAGTCTCCCAAAGAGCTGGGATTACAGGTGTGAGCCCCCATGCCCGACCAAAGTCCCAAAGTCCCATTTTCATCACATCATATCAAGGGTACATACTCTCCCCTTTTTTTTTTTTTTTTTTTTTTTTTTTTGAGACGGAGTCTCTCTGTTGCCCAGGCTGCAGTGCAGTGGTGCGATCTTGATCTCTCTCGGCTCACTGCTACCTCCACCTCCCAGGCTCAAGTGATTCTCCTGCCTCAGCCTCCATAGTAGCTGGCATTACAGGTGCCCACTGCCACCCCCGGCTAATTTTTGTATTTTAGGGTATATACTCTCAAAATGACCTATCAATATGACATATCAATGACTTGATCACTTGGCTGAGGTAGTATTTGTCAGATTTCTCCATGCAGTTTTTTTTTCTCTTTTTCTATATGTACTCTTTGGAAGGAAGTCACTAAGTACAACCTACACTGAAGGAGTGTGGAGTAATGTTCCCTTCCCTGAGGGCACAGTAGCCATATTAATTATTTGGTATTCTTCTGCATGGGAGATTTATCTGTAATTCTCCTTTTATCTATTCAATCATGTATTTATATTGGTACAGACTCACAGATATTTATTTTATACTTTGGTTCATAATCCAATATTATTGATTTTGTTTCTTAAATTGTTCCTGCTTTGGCCACTGGGAGCTCTTTTCCATTTGTCTTTGTTTTTGCTGTTTTTGAGACAGGGTCTCATTCTGTTGCCAAGGCTGGAGTGCAGGGGTGCGATCTTGGTTCATTGCAGCCTCAACCTCCTGGACTGAAGTGATCCTTCTACTTTAGCCTCCTGAGTAACAGTGACTACAGACAGGCACCACAGACATGTGCCACTATGCCTGGCTAATTTTTGTAGTTTTTGTAGAAATGAGGTTTCACCATGCTGCCCATGTTGGCCTTGAACTTCTGAGCTCAAGCAATCCACCCGCCTCAGCCTCCCAAAGGTGCTGGGATTACAGGCGTGTGCTATTGCGCCTGGCTCATTCGTTTTTTTGACATAGCCTCAGCATTGGATTTTTAGGTTTTTGTTTTTTAGTACTCCCTTACTTTCTGACACTACAAGGTACTCCAGGATCATCTTATGTATTTCCTACCCCCAGTCCTAGAATCAGCAGTTTCTCCTAGGGGCCCTAGTTCCTTTTATTAGAGAATGGTATTAGAATGAAGATCTGAGAGATAGCTAGGTATAATTTTTATTTTTTATATTTTGCTACACTAAAGAACAAAAATGATCGTTAAAAAATTATTATTATTATTATTTTGAGACGGAGTCTTGCACTGTCGCCCAGGCTGGAGTGTAGTGGCGCCATCTCGGCTCACTGCAACCTCCGCCTCCCGGGTTCAAGCAATTCTCCTGCCTCAGCCTCCCAAGTAGCTGAGATTACAGGCGCCTGCCACCACGCTTGGCTAATTTTTTGTATTTTTTTAGTAGAGGTGGGGTTTCACTATGTTGGTCAGGCTGATCTTGAACTCCTGACCTCGTGATCCGCCCACCTTGGCCTCCCAAAGTGTTGGGATTACAGGCATGAGCCACTGTGCCCAGCCTTTTTTTTTTTTTTTAATTTAAAAACTGTTGAAGGCCGGGCACGGTGGCTCACGCCTGTAATTCCAGCACCTTGGGAGATCAAGGCAGGTGGATCACTTGAGGCCAGGAGTTTGAGACCAGCCTGGCCAACATGGTGAAAGCCTGTTTCTACCAAAAATACAAAAAAATTAGCTGGGCGTGGTGGCACACGCCTGTAATCCCAGCTACTTGGGAGGCTGAGGCAGGAGAATCACTTGAACCCAGAGTCGGAGGTTGCAGTGAGCCGAGATGGTGCCGTTACACTCCAGCCTGGGTGACAAAGCAAGACTCCATCTCAAACAAACAAACAAACAAACAAACAAACAAACAAACTGTTGCGGGCCAGGCGTGGTGGTTCATGCCTGTAATCCCAGCACTTTGGGAAGCCGAGTCAGAAGGATCACAAGGTCAGGAGTTCGAGACCAGTCTGACCAACATGGTGAAACCCTGTCTCTACTAAAGATACAAAAATAAGCTGGGTGTGGTGGCATACCTGTAATCCCAGCTACTTAGGAGGCTGAGGCAGGAGACTCGCTTGAACCCGGGATGTGGAGGTTGCAGTGAGCTGATACAGCGCCATTGCAGTCCAACCTGGGCGACAGAGCGCGACTCTGTCTCAAACAACAACAAAAAACTGTTGCGTCCCTAGGGCCAAGCACCTCAGATTGGCCTGTGTCCAACCTCAGAATCCCTGTCCTGCCTTTCCTTTGGCAGTCAGGCTTAGATGCTGTTTGGCGGCCTTCCTTCAGGTGGGTACCAGCCTGGCTCAGGTGGGTACCAGCCTGGCTCAGGTGGGCACTGATGAAACAAGTGCACAAAGGAAGGAGAAGCTAATGTTGTGGGAGGGGCCGAAAGAAATCTTAAACCTTTAGAGCGGCTCAGGAAGAGCAGGAAGTGCTTCTGAAAAACAGACACTATGGCTGCCAGCTGTTTTAGATTCCCCAGCCCCAACTTGCTCTGGAGACCTCCAGCCCCCAACCTGCTGCCTGGTACACGAAAGGCCTCCATCAGCATCTGCTGAGCGTCTCACTCCATTGCTGTGGAGCAGCCCACAGGATATAAGCAGAGCCCTCAACGTGGGAAGCCCCAAAGTAGTTCTCCAGCCTTACCACTCATTTTATGTGGAAGAATCCTGCAAGGTTTTTGAGTCCTAGGATTTATTATGCATGCCTTCCAATGTCTGGAGATTTCTTGGTGGCATCTCCAGTCAAAAGAACATTTGGCGGATTACCTTGGAAGTGAAGTCATCACAGGTGTCCTGGAGCACTGCCCAGTCAGCAAGGTAATGCTATGAATTGTGAGAATCCACTGGCCTAACGGGGTAGAGGGAAGGATATAAAGTGAAGTCAAGGCCCTGCCCCAGGAGTGTGTCAGCCATGGGGACGCAGACAACCCCTAGGCAGTGGGCCCCACATCAGAAGGCTCACCCAGTTGCTGGTGAGGCTGGGAGGTGAGGACCCCTGGCTGCCGCGGAGGAAGGGTGAAAGAAATAATTTGGGTCGGGATGGGTGTAGAGAAAGGGGATACTCCCACAGCCAAGCTCACTGCTAGTAAGAAACTAGCTGTACAGCCCAAGCCGCCTGCTGGGGAACAGCAAGTGGGCCAGCAAGGGGCACAAGCAGGGAAGTGGGTATCAGGAAGATGCTGAACAAGATTCCTAAACCTGGGCTTGGGCAAACTTCATGGGGGAGCCTGAAACAAGGTGCACACAAAACCAGAAGGACATGCACATTTTTCAGGTGACAGAGACTTAACAAAACATGTCTTGACCGGGCGCAGTGGCTCACACCTGTAATCCCAGCACTCTGGAAGGCCGAGGTGGGCGGATCATGAGATCAGGACTTCAAGACCAGCTTGGCCAACATGGTGAAACCCCGTCTCTACTAAAAATACAAAAATTAGCCAGGTGTGGTGGCGCATGCCTGTAATCCCAGCTACTCCAGAGACTGAGGCAGGAGAATTGCTTAAACCCGGGCGGGGGCGGAGGTTGTAGTGAGCCGAGATCGTGCCACTGCACTCCAGCCTAGGCGACAGAGCAAGATTCCGTCTCGTTAAAAAATAATAATAAAATAAAATAAACATATCTGTTTCTCAAAGGTTGAGGCTGTTAGCACCAGGGAATGTAGGCACCAAAGTCTGTAAGTGGTGGCAAATCCTTGCCTCCTCAGAAAAAAGAATTCCACCAAGTGGCATAAGATGGGGAGGGAGAGAGGCAAGTTTTGGAGCAGAAGTGAAAGTTTTATTAAAGTTTTAGAGCAAGAATGAAAGTAAAAGCACATGGCCGGGTGCGGTGGCTCATGCCTGTAATCCCAGTGAGAAGTGAAGCCAGCTGGACTTCCTGGGTCGAGTGAGGACTTGGGGAACTTTCCTGTCTTACAAGAGGATGATAAAACGCACCAATTAGAAACTTTCCTGTCTTACAAGAGGATTGTAAAACGCACCAATCAGCACTCTGTAAAACGCACCAATCAGCAGGATTCTAAAAGTAGCCAATCTGCGGGGAGGATTGAAAAAAGGACACTCTGATAGGACAGAAACGGAACATGGAGCAGGGGGAGTGGGGGAGAGTGGGGGGTGGGGCATGGGGGCGTGGGTGGGGGCGTGGGTGGGGGTGGGGGTGGGGGGCGTGGGTGGGGTGGGGACAATAAGGGAATAAAAGCTGGCCACCCCCAGCCAGCAGTGGCAACCCGCTTGGGTCTCCTTCCACGCTGTGGCAGCTTTGTCCTTTTGCTCTTCACAAGAAACCTTGCTACTACTCACTCTTTGGGTCCATGCCATCTTCAGGAGCAGTAACACTCACCTGCCAAGGTCCCCGGCTGCATTCTTGAAGTCAGCGAGACCACAAACCAACTCTGGACACACCAGCACTTTGGGAGGCCGAGGCAGGTGGATCATCTGAAGTCAGGAGTTCAAGACCAGCCTGGCCAAAGTGGTGAAAACCCATGGCTACTAAAAATACAAAAATTAGCTGGGCGCGGTGGTGCACGCCTGTAATCCCAGCTACTTGGGAGGCTAAGGCAGGGGAATCACTGGAACCTGGGAGGTGGTGGTTGCAGTGAGTGGAGGTCGCACCACTGCACTGCAGCTTGGGTGATAAAGACTCTCACACGAAAAATAATAAAAATAAAATAAAAAGTTTTAGAGCAGGAACAAAATTAAAAGTACACTTGGAAGAGGGCCAAGTGGGCGACTTGAGAGATTCAAGTGCACGGTTTGGCCTTTGACTTGGAATCTTATAAGTTGGCATGCTTGGTGGGTGTGTGGGGTGGTTGCATCCCTTCTCCCCTGATTCTTCCTTTGAGGTGGCCTGCCACTACTTGGGAGGGGCCTCTGGCACAGTGTGTTTACTGAAGTGGTGTGCATGCTCACGAGGTGTTTTTCTCTTACCAGCTGAGTGTTCCCAGAGAGAACTCATATGCCAGTTCAACTCCACCATTTTGTCTCTTAGTTCACATGCTTGAGCCTACTCGCCCAACTCCTGAGATCTAATTAGGAAGCTGATCACCAGTTTTGGGTTTTTCTATCTATTGGGGAGACTGCCTTTCTCTGGCGCTGGATGAGATCAATTACTATTTTAGACAGCTTAACAGCCTCCTGACGATCACGTGATGGTCTTCTGATATTCCTAGGGTTGGAGGTGGGGCTCTCCTGCCCTGCTTATGTCTGCCGCTACCCACTGTAACAACACTGCCACGCAGGCTCTGCATCAGGAGACCCACTGCGGCTTCTGGACAACACGAGATGAAACCCAGGTTGCCCAGGACCTTCTGCTTGCCAACTGGTCAGGAGTCGTGTGGCTATCTCACTTGTGCCTCCTAAATCCCTCTCTCGGAAGGGGAGGTGGAGGGGTGCTGGTATTGTCCTCATTTTACCAAACCTCACGCCTAGTTCCCTTTCCACCATCCCTGGGGCCTTCCAGAAGAATCTCTGTGCTTGGAGAAAGGAGTACACAGCCTGAGGCTGGGTACGGGATGCAAACATCCATTCATTCAACTATTTCTTGGGAACTGGGGCTGCGCAGGACAGGGAGACCCGGGACACTGTCCTAACGGAAGCCAAGACCTGGGGAAGCCCAAGTTGGACTCAGCTAATTATAATTGCAATTATAACTTCGTACTCGAGTGCTTTCAAGGGTTGCCGAGGAGGCGAGGAGGGAAGGAAGGGGCCACAGGTCTGTGGCTGTCGGGTTTGCTGTGCCAGTTTCTGCCGGATGGAGGCCGCGAGCATGGGAGAAAGGGCGCAGCGAGGATGGCAGGAACCGTGTAGCCGGCGGGCCTTGCTCCCCACCTCAGGTTTGCGCCCACACCCTCTTCCTGGGGCTGCGCAGGCCTCACCTCGAAGGTACTTCTCAGGGGGAGGCTCAGAGGTGCGGATGTTCACGTCGTTGGGGCTGCCATGGCTGCGGTTGCTAAGCCCTTTTGGACTCACAAGTCTCAGATAAGATCAAAGCCCAGGTTGGGGCGGGCGGCCTAATCCGCCGCGGCTCCCGGGTCCCGGGAGGCCCCAGCACCGCGCGGACAACGACTGAAAGCAGAGACGATGCGATCTCGAGCGGGCCCTGGCTCAGCGCTGGCGCCCGCTTTCGGAGCCAGGACTGTCCCTCAGAGCAGCCGGGACACTGGCCCGGCCGGGAAGGTCACCTGCGCAACAAAGGCGGCCCAGGCAGCCCCAAGGTAATGCCCAGGGTGACCCCAGTGCAAAGGGGAGTCCTGGGGGAGAAGCAGCCTAAGGCACCCCGCCCCCAAATCCGGGGGCATTTATTTGAAATGTTAATGTTTTGGCCGGGCGCGGTGGCTCACCCCTGTAATCCCAGCGCTTTGGGAGGCCGAGGCGGGCGGATCACGAGGTCAGGAGATCGAGACCATCCTAACACAGTGAAACCCCGTCTCTACGAAAAATACAAAAAATTAGCCGGGCGTGGTGGCAGGTGCCTGTAGTCCCAGCTACTCGGGGGGCTGAGGCAGGAGAATGGCGTGAACCCAGGAGGCGGAGCTTGCAGTGAGCCGAGATCGCGCCACTGCACTCCAGCCTGGGCGACAGAGCGAGACTCCGTCTCAAAAAAAAAAAAAAAAGAAAGAAAGAAAGAAAAAAGAAATGTTAATGTTTTGAAGCCTCCCCTCGGCCCAGATCCGTCTCCTAGAAAACGGGCAGAAGCGTCTGTGGGATTACTAAACAAACCGACTCTGGCTTGGGTGCGAACCCAGTAAACATGTGTTGGTGTAAGCTAGAGAGGCCGGTGTACACGGACGAACCGGGTAAATGATTACACAGCCCCGACCCCTCGCCTTAAAGTATCCTTGGTGCACCGATTTCAGGACTTGAAGTTTTCCTGGGCCACAGACCTTTATTTGCGCGTGTCCTTTACGCCCTCCACCCCCGCGCAGGAACCGCGGAATCCAGGTCACAGGTGGGGGCGGGGAGGCCCGGGCAGGGCGGCTGCGGCGCAGCTCTGGCAGAGCCCAACCCTGGCCCCGCCCAGGTCGCAGGCCTCGCCCAGGTCCCGCTGGGCCGCAGCCCGGCCTGCACTCAGCCGCCAAAGTCTCCGCCACGCCTCGGGACGTCCTTGGGTAGCCCGGACCACGCGGGGTCGGGTGTCCCTGGCCAGGAGGCCGCCACGCCCGGGGAGGACACAGAGAGTGTCACAGCGGGAGCTTTTTAGAAACCTTGGCATGCGTTTCCCTGTCCACATTGGATAGTTGTCGAGTTATTGCCAAAATTATCTAGTCAGATCCTTTTCCCAGCTCAGCTACTGGCAATGGTAATCATACCTGCACACACTTTGGGTGCGCTGAGACACTGCCGGGCGCTGTTCCAAGCTCTTCTCATGGATTAACCTGTGATAAGGCGACCAAAGTTAGTCATCTGGCTTCTTTCGAGAACTGGCAGGTCACCTGCCCTCCACTCACCTGGTGGGGTGAGAGTAAATTGGGGCGTGCTCCCCTTTTGGATATGGGGTCCAAGCTGCGCAGACATGATTGCCAAGGGCCCGGGGCTCCTGTGTGCTGGAGAGGGGCTAGGTAGGGCATCAGGCACCGTCTTGATTCTGGAACATTTTTTAGGCCCCTCTACAGTTCTCCAACTTCAACATTCTGTAATCCACGAAATCCTCCAAGCTTCCTGAGCTTCCAAAAGGTTTCGCCTCAAGCTGGGAGAACCCAATAGAGTGATCATTTTTCAACCAAGGGAGCCAACATTCATACATAATAAAGCCAGTTACACAAAGGCCAGAATTCTTTCCCACTCTCCAGAGAGAGGCCCCTCAGCTCAGGGAATCTGCAGGGCTGCCCAAACAACCCAAACTATGGGCCAGGCTAGGGGCGCATCAGAGGAATGGGGGCAAGCCGGAGAGCTCCTCTGCCCACTCAGATGCTGGAGTTCCTAACACGAAGAAACCCTCATCAGGTTATTCCTGAGCACTTCTCAGAAAGCACAGTTCCTCCCTTTTCTTTGCCCCAAGGGCCAGTTGCAGAGCCCATGGCCCAGCCGTGGGATGCTGTGAAGGGAGGAAGAGCCGCTTATGGTGGAGGAGCTCCCTCCAGGCCCCAGCAATACATCTGGATGCTGTGAAGAACCAAGTGGGCAGGGCAAAAAGAGACATGGCCTGGTTAAGACAAGGCACTGTGACCTTGACTTCAATAACCTGGCCTGGTAGATGTCTGTCTGCCACCCTACCTTTGCTGCTCACAAATACCTGATCTCTCCCCAGGCCAAAGCATCTCCACCTACCGTTCCTCACTCCTCCTTGAACTTGGCTTCTTCCTCTAAACAGCTTTGAGTTCTCGATCTTGATCCTCACTCCTCCAGGCTTGAGCCTCTAGCTTGAAATGACAACAGAAGGATGGGGTTCCTCTACCTGGCTTGATATTCAGGGCCCAGGACAGCACATGCTTCATGCCTGGAACCTTTGGAGAAAGATAGTTTTGGTTTAAAACTCTGGCTCTGTCACATTAATCAGCTGGGTAACTTTAGGCAAGTCATTTACCATTGTACAGTATTCCTTAAGATTCTTATCAGAGAAGTGGTAGGATGATGCAGCTCTGTTAAGGAGACAAGACATCAATGACAATGTAAATAACAATGTAAATTACAATGCAGGGAAATATGCATTGTGGCTGGCAAAGAATAGGGCTCAGTAAATGGTAGCCTTCTCCCTAGGTAAGAATAAAGCAACTCAGCACCTAGGAGGCTGCTTGCCTTTGTTCTTTCATTAAAATTTTTTTTTTAGAGACAGGGCCTTGCTCTGTAACTCAGGTGGGAGTGCAGTGGCATGATCATAGCTCACTGTAACTTTGAACTCATGGGCTCACGAGATCCTCCTGCCTCAGCCTCCTGAGTAGCTGGAGCTTGCCTTTGTTCTCACACTCTCTTCTGAGGCTCCACAGTTTGGAGGTAGAGACCGCAACATCGGTAATGTTGCTGCCAACTCCACCTCCACTCAGTCATGCCCTGGAAGTTAAATACCTGAAACTGTATGGCCATGGCATCCTTGCTTGGGCAAGCAGCATTCAGAAGCAGATTGGCTTTCAGAGCAGGTGACACCCCAGAGGCTTCTCTCCTGATGTCATTATGGGCAAGCAGTCAGCAGTCAGTGAGCAGGGCCTCACTGCTGGGATCTTGTTCCTAACTGGGTGTCCTGCTGCCTCTCACCTAGAAAGTGAGCCCAAGCAGATTTTCCCTGACATTCAATAGCCTTGTTCTGCTTCCACTGTTTCCATCTCAAGGTTATTAATTCTTTGCCCACTCATGGCTATCAGAATTCTTTTTCAACATTTCCAAGATTAATATATAGAATATACAGACCCTCTTTTTTTTTCTTTTTCTTTTTTTTTTTTGAGATAGAATTTCACTCTTGTTGCCCAGGCTGGAGTACAGTGAAGCCATCTCTGCTCACTGCAACCTCCGCCTCCCAGGTTCAAGCGATTCTCCTGCCTCAGCCTCCCGAGTATCTGGAATTACAGGCGCCAGCCACCACACCCAGCTAATTTTTGTATTTTTAGTAGAGACAAGGTTTCGCCATGTTGGCCAGGCTGGTCTCAAACTCCTGACCTCAGGTGATCCGCCCGCCTTGGCCTCCCGAAGTGTTGGGATTACAGGTGTGAGCCACTGTGCCTGGCCCATATCCATCTTCTAAATTCTTACTAGAAAGAAGCACAAAAATGACCAAAACGTATGTTTGCTTTGCTGTATCTTTTTATTTTTTTAAACCTTTTTCAAGATGGATAGGGTCTAGCTCTGTTGCCCAGGCTGGAGTGCAGTGGCACAATCATAGCTCACTGTAACCTTCAACTCCTAGGCTCAAGTGATCTCCCACTACAGCATCCCAAGTAGCTGGTGTTAACAGAAATATGTTAACAGTGGAGGGTGTCCGTGTTCTTGGTGTCTTGAACAAATAATTAGACAAAACGCACAAACAAAGCAAGGAAGGAATGAAGGGATTTATTGAAAATCAAAGTACAGTCCACGGTGTGGGAGTTGGCCAGAGCACGAGGCTCAAAGACCCCATTACAGAATTTCTGGGAGTTTAAATACCCCCAGAGGATTCCACTGGTTACTTCGGGTACACCCTATGTAAATGGAGAGGATGAAGTAAAGTTACAAAGTCATTTATGGCGTATGCCCTATGGAGAGGATATTTCCTGTTATAGCTAAAGTGTGAATTGGCCTTCTGTTCCCTGCCTCCAGACCATATTTTCCTGCCTCACTGGGACTACAGGAACATGCCACCACACCTGGCTAATTTTTTGGTTTTGTTTTTTTTTGAGATGGAGTCTCACTCTGTTGCCCAGGCTGAAGTGCAGTGCCACAATCTCAGCTCACTGCAACCTCTGTCTCCCGGGTTCAAGCGATTCTCCCGCCTCAGCCCTCTAAGTAGCTAGGACTATAGGCGTGCACTACCATACCCGGCTAATTTTTTTGCATTTTTGTAGAGATGGGGTTTTACCATGTTGGTCAGCCTGGTCTTGAACTCCTGACCTCAAATGATCCACCTACTTCAGCCTTCCAAAGTGTGGGATTACAGGCATGAGCCACTGCACCTGGCCTAATTTTTTTTTTTTTTTTTTTTTGAGACAGAGACTCGCTGTGTCGCCCAGGCTGGAGTGCAGTGGCGTGATCTCGGCTCACTGCAAGCTCCGCCTCCCGGGGTCATGCCATTCTCCTGCCTCAGCCTCCTGAGTAGCTGGGACTACAGGCGCCCACCACCACACCCAGCTAATTTTGTTTTTGTATTTTTAGTAGAGATGGGGTTTCGCCGTGTTAGCCAGGATGGTCTCAATCTCCTGACCTCGTGATCCACCCTTCTCGGCTTCCCAAAGTGTTGGGATTACAGGTGTAAGCCACCAGGCCTGGCTCTAATTTTTAAATTTTTAGTAGAGACAGGGTCTCACTATGTTGACCAGGCTGGTCTGGAACTCCTGGCCTTAAGTGATCCAACTTGGCCTCCCAAAGTGCTGGGTTACAGGCATGAGCCATGGCACCTGGCCCGTATCTTCTTTTAACATAGAACTGGTGGAACCAAGGACTAGAGGATGACTGATTCATTTACGGGAGAGTGTATGACTCCATAAGTGTGAGGCTCCACAAGTGCAGAGGGAGAAAGAAGTTCTAGACAGAGGGGACTGCATGAGCTGGGCATGGAGTCAAGTAGTCTAGCCCAGCTAGTCAGGAGAGGAGGGAAAGAGAGGTATGGCAGGGTGGAACATAACCATAAATGCCAGTGCAAATTACTCATGCCTATGGGATATGAACTTATTTCCCATAGATGGTGGGGAGCAAAAATTTTTTTTTTTTTTTTTAGGAGAGGGAAGTGATTTCTCAAATGTATGTTTTAGAAATATCATTCTGGGGGCTGTGCAAGAACAGTACACTCATTTTTTAAAAATAGACTTTTTTAGAACAAGTTTACATTCATAGAAAAAGTGTGCACATAGTACAGAGTTCTCATATACCTCCCTCCCCAACCCCCTTCCCCAGTTTCCTCTATTATTTATTTTTTTTGAGATGGAGTCTTGCACTGTCGCCCAGGTTGGAGTGCAGTGGCACTATCTTGGTTCACTGCAACCTCCGCCTCCTAGGTTCAAGCGATTCTCCCACCTCAACCTCCCAAGTAGCTGGGACTAGAGCCACACGCTACCATGCCCAGCTAATTTTTTGCATTTTTAGTAGAGATGGGATTTTGCCATGTTGGCCAGGCTAGTCTTGAACTCCTGACCTCAGGTGATCTGCCCGCCTTAGCCTCCCAAAGTGCTGGGATTACAGGTGTGACCACCGTGCCCGGCCAGTTTCCTCTATTATTAAAGTCTTGCATTAGTGTGGTATATTTGTTAAAATATTGATACATCATTAACTTAATTTACATCAGAATTCATTCTTTGTGTTGTATAGTTCTATGGGTTTTGACAAATTTATAATGTCATATATCCACTGATTCAGTATTACAGCTATTTTTTTTTAATTTGAGATAGAGTCTCACTCTGTTGCCCAGGCTGGAATGCAGTAGTGTGATCTCAGCTAACTGCAACCTCCAACTCCCAGATTCAAGCAATTCTCCTGCCTCAGCCTCCCAAGTAGCTGGGATTACAGGTATGCACCACCATGCCTAATTTTTGTATTTTTAGCAGAGACAGAGTTTCACTATGTTGGCCAGGCTGGTCTTGAACTCCTGACCTCAGGTGATCCGCCCACTTCGGCTTCCCAAAGTGCTGGGATTACAGGCATGAGCCAGTGTGCCTGGAGTGTTACAGAATTCTTTCACCACTCCACAAGTCCCCTGTGCTTCAGGTATCCATCTCTCTTCTCCCCTCCTCCTGAACCCCTAGCAACCACTGATCTTTTTACTCTCTCCATCGTTTTGCCTTTTCCAGACATCATATACAGTAGTTAGAATCATATAGTATGTAGTCTTTTTAGACTGGCTTTTTTCACTCAGCAATATACATTTAAGATTCCATATCTTTTCACAGCCTGACAGCTCATTTCTTTTGGTAAATTCATTTTTAATATTTTTCTTTAACAAATATTTACCCAGCTTTTTTTTTTTTTTTTTTGAGACAGGGGCTTGCTCTGTCACCTGGGCTAGAATGCAGTGGCACAATCACGGCTCATTGCAGCCTCAATCTCCTAGGCTCAAGCGACCTTCCCACCTCAGCCTCCTGAGTAGCTGAGACTACAGGCATGTGCCAACACACCTGGCTAATTTTTGTAGTTTTTGTAGAGACAGGGTCTCACCATGTTGCCCAGGCTGGTCTTGAACTCATGGGCTCAAGCCACCCACCCTGCCTCGGACTCCCAAAGTGCTGGGATTACAGGCATAAGCCACTGCGCCCAGCTACTGAGCTTTGATATCAGTGCTGCCAATATAAATATAAGGCAAGCCACAAAGGTAACTTAATTTTTTCTAGTACCCACATTAAATAAAGGTAAAAAGAAACAGGTGATATTAACTTTAATAACATATTCTATTTAACTTGATATAAAAAAATCATTTCAACATTTAATCAGTGTAAAAAGTATCGAGATATTTTATTTTCTTTTTTTGTAGGAAGCCTTTGAAATCCAGTGTGTGTTCTACATTGTCAGCACTTCTTAACTTGGACTAGCTATATTTCAAGTGCTCAGTGAACACACAGCTCATGGCTACCACACTGGACTGTGCAGCCTGTTCTGGGTGCTGAGCATACAGCAGAGAGCAGAACAGACAAGGTCTCTGCCTTTACACAGTTGACATTCTAACATGGAAGACAGATAATAAAGAACTAGGCTGGGCGGCCGGGCGTGGTGGCTCACGCCTGTAATCCCAGCACTTTGGGGGACCGAGGCAGTGGATCATTTGAAGTCAGGAGTTCAAGACCAGCCTGGCCAACGTGGTGAAACCGTCTCTACTAAAAATAGAAAAATTAGCCGGGTGGTAGTGGCACATGCCTGTAATCCCAGCTACTCAGGAGACTAAGGCAGGAGAATCACTTGAGCCTGGGAAGCAGAGGTTGCAGTGAGCCGAGATTGTGCCACTGCACTCCAGTCTGGGCAACAGAGACCCTGTCTCAAAAACAAACAACAAACAAACAGACAAACAAACAAAAGTAAGCAGGCTGGGTGTGGTGGCTCACAACTGCAATTCCAGCACTTTGGGAGGCCCAGGTGAGAGGATTGCTTGAGGCCAGGAGTTCAAGACCAGCCTGGGCAATGTAGTGAGACCCCATCTCTAAAAAACAAAAAAAAAATTCATTTTTTGAATGTTTCCCTGGGCGTCACTCTTGCCTGTAGTCCCAGTTACTCAGGAGGCTGAGCCTGGGAGGGCAAGGCTGCAGTGAGCCGTGTGTGTGTGCACCACTGCACTCCAGCCTAGGTGACAGAGGGACACCTTATCTGAAAAAAAAAAAAAAAAAAAAAGAGAGATAATTTGGGAGACTGGTGTTAATAATACACCAGTGTTATGATAGAGACTGAGAAGCTGCTTCAGATTGCCTAGGTAGTCAGGAAAGCCTTTTGGAGGCTGAGACCCCAAAAAAGGAGGCATTATCAACGGGAAAATCACTAGTTGTTATCAATTATCTATTGTCACAATGCTGTATAACAAATCACTCTAAAATTCAGAAGCTTAATATAATAAGTAGCTATTATTACTCATGGGCCTACAGGTCATCAGGACAGTTCTAGTCCCAGGTGCGCTCACATCTACATCTTTGGGTGGCTGCAGGTCAGGTGGGTGGCCATGCTGCTCCTGGCTGGGCTTACATGTTTGGGGTCTGCTGGCTATTCACAGGTCAGGGAAGACTTCAGCTCTTTTCCATGTGGCTTCTCATCTTCCATCAAACTAGCCCAGCCCTGTTCTCATGGCAGAAGCAGGGATCCCAAAGAGAATGTGGAAGCGTTTAAGGTTTCTTAAGGCTCAGGCTGAGGACTTTATCACTTCTGTCATTTTCTTTAGGCCAAGGTGAGTTAAAATCCAGCTGAGATTCTGGGAGGAGCTGCCAAGTCACATTGCAAAAGGTGTGGCTACAGGGAGGAGTGAGTGGAAAATTCAGGCAATTTTTGCAATTTATCTCCCATATTACTTTAAAAGCTTTCAATTCTACCAGGAAGAGATAGCAATTCTAACTTGTACAGTATGTGCCCAATAAAATAGCCTCAAAATGCAGAAAGAAAAATAGAACTACAGGGAGAAATGAAAAAGATTACTCTTATAGTGGGAGGTTTTCATGCATGTTTTGCCATTATAGGTCAAGCAGACAAAAGAAATTATTAAAGATATAGAAGAGTTGAACATAACTTATTAGTATTTTTGAGAAAAAGTTTTGCTCTTGTTGCCCAGACTGGAGTGCAATGGTGTGATCTTGGCTCACTGCAACCTCCACCTCCTGGGTTCAAGTGATCCTCCTGCCTCAGCCTCCCAAGTAGCTGGGATTACAGGTACCTGCCACCCGGCTGGCTAATTTTTGTATTTTTAGTAGAGATGGGGTTTCATCATGTTGGCCAGTCTGGTCTCGAACTCCTGACCTCAGATGATCCACCTGCTTTGGCCTCCCAAAGCGCTGAGATTACAAGTGTAAGCTGAACATAATTTTTTTTTTTTTTTTGAGACGGCGTCTCGCTCTGTCGTCCAGGCTGGAGTCCAGTGGTGTGATCTCAGCTCACTGCAAGCTCCGCCTCCTGGGTTCATGCCATACTCTTGCCTCAGCCTCCTGAGTAGCTGGGACTACAGGTGCCCGCCACCACGCCCAGATAATTTTTTTGTATTTTTAGTAGAGACGGGGTTTCACCGTGTTAGCCAGGATGGTCTCGATCTCCTGACCTCATGATCCGCCTGCCTCGGCCTCTCAAAGTGCTAGGATTACAGGCGTGAGCCACCGTGCCTGGCCGCTGAACACAATTTAAAGCTTCAATTAATCCAGGTATTCAGTCAACAAATATTTATAGCACACTTTCTGTGTGTGAGGCACTATTCTAGGTGTGCTTGGCATATAAAATGAACAAAAGTCAGCCATCCTCGTCCTCATGGAGTTTATATTCTTGTGAAACGAAATAGATAATAAACAAGTTCATACACAAAGCAAACGTAATGACTATGTTATGGAGAAAAGCAGCAGGGAAAAGGAGATACAGGGTGCTGGATGACCTTAAATAGCATGGCCAAGGAAAACATTACTGAGAGACACACTTGAGCAAAGACCTGAAAGCATGCAGGGAATGAGTTGTGTGTGTCTCTTGAGGACTAACAGAGGGAACAAGTACGAAGAGGGCCCACAGGCAGGAGCTGGCTTGGCATGTTCTAGTAGTAGACAGAGGCAGGCCCGGCAAGGTAGGAAGGGATAGGAGTACTCAGGGGCCAGATCATGCAGGGCCTTTTCACCGTTAAGAACTTTGGATTTTAGTATTACAGGAGGACCCTTCAGGGTGTTTGACTAGGCGGGTATCATACAGTATTAAGGGTGAGGATCCTGAATAAAAAAGGGCTGTTTCCAGGACAAGGGTCAGGAAGCCAGACTTCTTCGAGGTTGCTTGTACCGGTCCTTGTCAGGCAATGTGCTCCTAGAGAATTTCCTTTGCTTTGTGTTTCATCTACCTAGACAGCAGTGTATTCCCCAGAGGACGTCACTATCTCCAGAGAACATATTCCAATTATCCTGGGAAATATGATAATTGGGATTATAACAGTACTCATTTTCTCAATTCTCAGAATGAAAACCTATCCAAGGCAAGAACAAAAGTTCTCCAGAAAGCACTCCCCTCCCAATTGTGAAAACCCAGTTAACATTTTATTAGAGCTACCAGGTTATGTGAAACTGTTGATAGTTTTATCACTTTCCTTTCAAGATATAGGCAGGGGCAGTGGCTCATGCCTGTAATTCCAGCACTTTGGGAGGCCAAGGTAGGTGGATGGCTTGAGCCCAGAAGTTCAAGACCAGCCTGGGCAACAAGGTGAAACCCTATCTCTACCAAAAATACAAAAATTAGTGGGGCATGATAGCATGGACATGTAGTCCCAGCTACTTGGGAGGCTGAGGTGGGAGGATGGCTTGAACCCTGGAGGTGGAGGTTGCAGTGATTGGAGATCGTGCCACTACATTCCAGCCTGGGCGACAGAGCAAGACTCTGTCACCAAAAAAAAAAAAAAAAAAAAAAAAAAAAAATGTGGCCAGGCATGGTAGCTCACACCTGTAATCCCAGCACTTTGGGAGGCTGAGCCAGGCGGATCACAAGGTCAAGAGATCGAAACCATCCTGGCCAACATGCAAAACACCATCTCTACTAAAATACAAAAAATGAGCTGGGTGTGGTGGTGTGCGCCTGTAGTCCCAGCTACTGGGGAGGCTGAGGCAGGGGAATCGCTTGAACCAGGGAGGCAGAGATTGCAGTGAGCCGAGATCGCGCCACTGCACTCCAGCCTGGTGACAGAGCGAGACTCCGTCTAAAAAAAAAAAAAAAAAAATATATATATATATATATATAATATATGTATATAATTTTACATGAAAGAAGGAAATAAATGGGTGCTTTTATTCAACAAATATTTATTGAGCACCTACTCTTGTGCCAGGCAGTCTTCTAGGTGCTAGGGTTGCAGCAGAAAACAAGACAGGCAGAGATCCCTGCCTTCAGAGGGAGCACAACATTTAAGATAAACATGCAAAATGCCTGATATGTTAGATGGGAAGATAAATGCCCTTAAAGAAAGTAAAGCAGGGACAGTGACATTTAGGAGTGAGGATGTTGCAACAATTTAAGATAGGTTGGTCAGGGGAGATTCATTGAAAAGTCCCATCTGAGTGAAAACCTAGAGGAGAGAATTGAAGCAGGCTGGTATCTGGGGGAGTTGTAGGCAGAGGGAATAGGAAATACAAAGGCCCTAAGGTGGGGAAACAGCAAGGAGTCAGGTGTGGGCAGAGCAGAAAGTTGGGGCTGCATGAGCAAAGGGCAGGGCCTGGCCCACATCTCGTAGAGCTTTGTAATATAACCACAACATGCAAGTGTACAATTTAACATTTTATTCCACATCCGATGGCAAAGAAAAATTGACTGCTACCAATATGGTAGTTTCTGACCTGTAGTTCCCTAAATAGAATTCTATAAGTTGTAATACACTTTACTACACATTATCAGAAAAAGACTAAAAGTTCTATTTAGTAACTCCAATTCTGACAGTTCTCATGTCTGGGCTAGAACAAGGGCATGGCAATGGCAGAACAGATGTCTTCTATTTTCTTTGCAGGATTTTCTTTTTTCAGAGGAAAGTACAGGTATGGGCCCACTCAAGTGGAGCTCCAGGTTAGGGGGTTCTGTCCTCACCCAGGCAGCACACAGGAGGGCAGAGGCCCCTCCTAAGGGTACTACAAACTTGGCTCTGATCCATGATTTCAGTTTCTGACAAACACAACATTCAGTGGGGGAAAGAAAATCAGGTATCTGAGAGCTTGCACACAGGCATTCTAGCAAAACCAAAAGCACCTACTGGCTACTTGATGTTAGTGTGAAGATTCTCATGAAATGGAGACAACCATTCTAGGGGTTGAGGTGGCCAGGGGGATGGAGCCTGAGCTGAGAGAACTAAGAAAACAAAAACAATACAACAAAAAGCTGTTCAGCCATGTGTTACCCACACTGGAGTTCTGTTTGCTCATTCTGGTGTGGAACCCAGGGCCCTGGTAAGGGAATGAGGGGACTTCAGGGCATTTGCTTGCCTCAGTGGAAGCAGGGAGGTAAGGGGTTAAGGTGGTGGTACAGCCTGCAGGGCCAGGAGTCTGAACTCCCTCCAGGAGGGGCCCGAGGGGTGTCTTTAGTGTGAGCCACACAAGGGTACAGAGCCCAGAAGAGCTCTGCTTAATATTCATATACTAAGCTTCCACAGACTAAATACACACACACACACACACACACACACACACTCACACACACTTTACTTCTCAAATCATGTACCACTTTCTACCAGATTCAAGAACACCAAGAAGTACTAAAGGGTATCCAACCGTCAAGAAAAAGTTTGACTCCCTCATTAGTTGTAACATACAAGTCTTCCCATTTCCTTACTTGTAAGATAGAGTAATGGACTGGGAAGCAGACAAGGCCCCTGAACAGCCTAGCATCTTACCTGATGCATAGGAGGTTCTTAATCATCTCCCTTCCTCTCCCTCATCCTAACGAAAAATACTAGATTGCTGTCAAATGCTATGGGTATACTTTAAATCAGTGCTTGTCAAACTTTAATGTGCAGCCCAATCAGCTGGGGGAATCCTGTTAAAATGCAGGTTCTGATTCAGTGGAGCTGGGGTGAGGGATAGGAATTATGCGTTCCTTACAGGCTTCCAGGTGATGCTACACTGCTGATTGGGGATCATTCTTTGAGTGGCAAGAATTTGACACTACTAAGTTTCATTACTTAACACAACCATCACATAAAAGCCCTCAAAAGGCACCAGTCTAAACAATAAGCCCTTCCACTTCAGCCTCATGCAGGCACTGACCCTGCCAAGTGTCCAGCACTAGAGAGGCCAGGCATAATAGACATATCCTTTGGTCTTGGGAGGATCACGACACCCTCCTACAGGAAGATCTTGCAATTGTTTCCTCACCTCTTCTGGTTTTTTGATCTTACCTTTTGCCTCTGATGATAATTACCCTTTAATTACCACCCACCACCTTGTCATCTAAATAATTATAGTAAGTGCAGCCTGCACCTCTGCCAGAAGATCTTTAAACAAAATGATAAAAACAAGTTCCTAAACTGCCAATTAAAAAAAGAGACAAAACTGACCCAAATAAAACAGTCATGTGCATCCCACCCACAGTGGAAGACATGGACTTGTTTTTCATATAAACTACAGAAGAAGTTGATTTATTTTGAAACAAGAAAAAGTACTGATTCAGTATTTAGGAAATTGTAAATGTCAGAATATAAATTCTGCAGTCAGGTAGGCAAAACAATCCAACCACACTAAAATCCACCTTAAATTCCTCTTGGGAAGAGCTGCAGGGTCTCTGAACTATTTTTCCTTTATTTGGAGTTTCCCCGATTATACCGGAGGGAGCTGGATAACTTCTGGGTGCATTAAAAGCAAATTATCCATTTGTGGGAGAAGGGCGGGCTTCTCACTGAAAGCAATTAGTAGTTTTCTAATTTCCCAGGTGGGTCTCCATTAACCGCCTAACAAACACCAAGGCTGTCGGAGTCCGACGAATCATGCACCTCTCTTAGGGGGAACTGGTTGCGCTACTCTTTAGAACGCTGTTTTCCCATGGTAGCCTTAAAAAAAACTTACCAATTTTCTGAATTAGGTAACACATTGAATGGGAAAAACCTAAGATAGCACAAAAAGGCGTACAGCGAAAAATTAAGACTCCTTCCTCCCGTCATCCGCCACCTCACTGTCCTCCCTAGAGGCAATCGCTGGTTCACTTCTTTAAACTTTTTATTATGGAAAATTTCAGATACACAAGTAAAGAGACTGTATGATGAGCACATATGCTCGCATCACGCAGCTTCAACGATGAAAAACGTTCTGCCAGCTTGTTTTATTCCTCTCCCCCAGTTTTCATAGGCGTATTTTACAGTCCTGACACCAGATCACTCTGTCAACACATCAGTAGGTCTTAAAAAAAAAAAAACAAAAAACCATAACCACATTACCGTTACCACACCCAACAAAGTTAATGATAATTGCTCAATACCATCCAATATTCTCGGGGCCACTTTCAATCGGTGAGGGGCAGACGGACTTAGAGGAAGGACTGCAGGGCTGGAGGGGCGCGAAAAAGCGAGGGGCGACGCTGCTCGTGGCCTCGGGTGTCCGGCGCCTCGCGGTCCCCGCCATCGTCACCTACGCCGGGCCAGGACCGACCAGGCCAGGTCGAGGGCGGCTCTTGACCACGCGCCCCCTGCCTCCCAGCTCCCGGGCGGCGGCCTCCGCAGGCCCGGCACAGCTGCACAGCCCGCGGTCCCCAGGCACCGGCGGGTCCCTGGAGGGGAAGCGATTGATACAGCTGCCTGCACTGCGCCACCCGCCCGGCTGCCCATCTCCGTGGCACCTGCGTCTCCCGGCTGGGCCGGGAGCTAGAAGTGGCTGCCGAGACCGGGAGGGCCCGGCCAGTCGCCCGCTCCCGCTCCCGCGCCTGGTCCTCGGCCCGCGACCTCGCGGACCTGGACTACAACTCCCGTCGGGCTCCGCGGCCGGGCCAATGGCGGGCGCCGGAGCATGCGGGGCGCAGCGCCTGCGCGGCGGTTTGAGTAAGCGGCTGCGCGATTGGCTGCGGGGTCGGGCGGCCGCGCGGGGACTGTGGGAAGCGGAGTGACGGAGCGAGCGGCTGTTGGAGGAAGGAGGTGGGGGCCGGGAGCGCAAATGGCGTTGAGATGGTTCAGGGCCCTGTTCAAACTCCAGCACTGACCATTCACCGGCGGAAGCGGCGGCGCAGGAGGCGGCGGCGGCCCAGCGGGGGCACACAGCAGGCTCTGTTACCAGCTCCAGCAGTGGCGGCCAGCGAGAGCTAGGCCTGGGCCCGGCCGGCGGCGCTCGAGGCGGGGAGGGAAGTTGCGGGGCCGCCGCTCCTGCCCCCCCAACCGGGCTTCCTATTTACCGAAAGCAGAGTCCCTCGCCTCTCTCGGCTCTCACCTGCCGGCCCTGCTCTCCCGCGCGAGGGTTCCGCGCCCGCCCGCGGGCCGTAGGGAGCGGGAGAGGCGGAGGCGGCCCGTGGCCAAAGCACCCGCCAGGCTCCGAGGGTAAGTGAGGTGTCGGGCGGCCGCCTAGGCCGGGAGGGAGCCGGGAGGGTGGGGGAGGCAGAGGCTGGGAGCGGGCGGTGGAAGTCTCACTGCCTCGCCCACCGGGCCGCTGAGGAAGTTGGGCAGGGGAATGACCTGAGGAACTCTTTTTTTCCCCTTTTATTTTCCTTTTTCGGAGTTCTTTTTCGGGCGACTGCTGATTGACTTAGCTCCCCAAACCCAGTCAAGTGTGTTGATTTCAGCCCCGAGTCCTTTCCCGTGGTTTCATCCGCCTCTGGCCGCCACTGGGGCCTTGCACTGCCTTAAGGATTCGGTGGCAGAGGCTTCCGGGGCGTCGAAAGTGACCTCCCTTTCCTGGGCGGCGCGGGTTGGGAGGAGAAAAGTTGCATTGAGTGTCTAGTCCGAGGGGTCCATCGCGCCCACTGCCCGTGGCGCCCCGGCTGTCCCCAGGTGAGGATTTCTGGTTAGTCAGGTTCGTCCCGTCCGCTTTCCATCTTTAATGGAAGCCCTTAAAGCCTTTGGGGATCGGGAAGACGCTAGATTAGGGTGGGAGTGAAGTATAAAGGCTTTTTGCTTTTTTTTTTTTTTTTTTTTTTTTAAATCACAGCGCACTTCTCTCAAAATTCGACCTGATTTTGGGCTAGGGCAAAAGCCGAACGACCGAAAAGACTTAGTCGTCAATCATTCTTTCCTTTTTAGTTAGGACAGTCTTTGGAGTTTAAAGGTTGAGCAAGATTGTGTACTTGAAACACTTAAAATTTAACTTCAAGGACGTCTGCACACTTATTTTGGAATCTGTAGTGCTTTACGCTTAGATAATGCCATTGCAAAGACATTTTATTGTGGGAAACGATAAAGGCAATCAGGAGGAGATATTATATAATGAACTTCTCTGTACCCATCGCTTGGATTTAGCAGTGACTATTAAACAAATTTATTTCATCTATACACTTCTCATTCCTTAATGTTGGAAAATCGCTGACGTTATTTCATCAGTATTTCACTATGTATTTGTAAAAGACGTGGTCTTTTGGCACAAAATTATTATTATCATTATTATTATTATTTTGAGACGGAGTTTCGCCCTTGTTGCCCAGGCTGGAGTGCAGTGGCGCGATCTCAGCTCACCGCAACCTCCGCCTCCCAGGTTCAATTGATTCTCCTGCCCCAGCCTCCGGAGTAGCTGGGATTACAGGCATGCGCCACCACGCCCGGCTAATTTTCTATTTTTAGTAGAAACGTGGTTTCTCCATGTTGGTCAGGCTGGTCTCGAACTCCTGGCCTCAGGTGATCTGCCCGTCTTGGCTTCCCAGAGTGCTGGAATTACAGGCGTGACCTGCCGCCCCCAGCCAGCACAAAATTATTTTTTATCACATAAAATAATTAAGTCCTTAGTGTCAGGTATTCATCTGAAGACTTCAAACTTTCAACAGTGAATGCTTTGTGGTTATAGAACCATTTTAACAGTTTTTCTGATGTTGGCATAAAGGAACTCAAGTCTAGATTTTTGGTTTGGCCTTTGGTTAGTATTTTTAGATGATTAGCACATAAGTGAATCCAAAACATTCCATCTTTGTTGGTGTGTATGTGTACGTACACTTACAGACCTGCAGGATCTCAGCTTTACATTCTTGAAGGAACAGAGAATCGATTTTTATTTTGTTGTCCGTGGTAGTTGCCCAGTATCCTGTTTTGTTTAGGCTGTACTTAACAAGAAAGACAGTAAGACTTGTTAGTGTTAGAGCTGCAGTGGAAGATGAAATACATCTCCTTCAGGAACACTGTTTTCTCTTAACGCAGATATGTATGATGACTAAATTATTACCTTGTCAAATTAAAATTGGGTTCTCACCAAACATGGGGGGGGGTCTACTACTGAATTTATATAAAACTCAGACAGTGACTCATTATAAATGGTAAGAATTTAAGTTAATCAAGGGAAAACAAGTGTAGATCAAAACATATTCAAAAGTATAGGTCAAATATAATTTCAATTCTTGTAGCTTTCAAAGTAATGATTTTTCATTCCTTAGGCCCTTGTTCACTTTTTAAAGTTATATTCGATGTATTCATGTTTGAACTGTAGAAAGGTCAAAGTGTTAGACAAACGGTTACTGATTGATCATGTTTAAAAAGTACTATAACTTTTTAATAGGCACAGAACTAATGCAAGTAACTTGTTTTAAAAAATGTTTGACTCTTGATTTACTGCCCTAAAGATTTTTTTTTTTGTCCTGTGAAGTAGATAAATCAGGTGAATCGATTTGCCATTTATAAATTGAAAAGGAAAATAAAAGTTGTATGTTTCTATGTCTGTATTAATCCATGAAACAGTGTAATATGCTGGAGCTCACTAGCCCCAGAAAATATAACTCAGCAAATGAGCACAGCACTATCGGGACAAGGCAGATAGGATAAGGATAGTTTCTTTCCCTAGGGAGATGACCATCTAAGGAACATTTTTAAAGTCACAGCGCAAATTACATTACACCAAGAAGCAGAATCTTCAAGATTGGGTTAAAAGCTGCAGGTTGTAAAACATGAGAAAAAGCACCATTTTGGGGACCTTTTTTCTCATGTGAATTAGTGCCATGAAATTTCAAAGAACTAAATTTAATCAAGTATTGGATATTTCTGAGGCCCTGAAAAAAACTAACATTCTGTGCTTAAGATTTTATATAAGTAATTACCCTATACAGGTTATCATTATATCACTGCAACCTCCATCTCCTGAGTTCAAGCGGTTCTTCTGCTCCAGCTTCTCAAGTAGCTGGGATTACAGGTGCGTGCCACCACTCCCAGCTAATTTTTGTATTTTTAGTAGAGATGGGGTTTCACCGTGTTGGGCAGGCTGGTCTCAAACTCCTGGCCTCAAGTGAGCTGCCTGCCTCGGCCTCCCAGCCTCTATACAGATAATTTTTTAAGGTAAAAATGATGTTTATAAGAATAGTAAATTAATTCATTTGGAACTTAATATGCTTCATTTTAAGTTAGCTTTATGGATATCGTATTATAAGTTGGTTAATCATTAAGTTTTTTTACTTTGTAAGTAGCGTAGGAATATGTACTCATTGTGGAGGAAAATTGACATGGAAGCATGTAGGGTAATAAATCAGCCTTTCTTTATACCCCTTCCTCATATTTGTTTATTTAAAAGTCTGTGTGGTGAGTGTCAAAAGTCATGAGGGAAGAATCCCTAGGTTTTTATTTTTATATGCACTGTTTAACACTTGTATTTGATGATTATATGTTTTCTTAAATTTTTTTTCACAGAGAATATGAAACTGGTGTCAAAATGACATCCAGATTTGGGAAAACATACAGTAGGAAAGGTGGAAATGGCAGTTCAAAATTCGATGAAGTCTTTTCCAACAAACGGACTACCCTTAGCACAAAATGGGGAGAGACCACATTTATGGCTAAATTAGGGCAGAAGAGGCCCAATTTCAAACCAGATATCCAAGAAATTCCGAAGAAACCTAAAGTGGAAGAAGAAAGTACTGGAGATCCTTTTGGATTTGATAGTGATGATGAGTCTCTACCAGTTTCTTCAAAGAATTTAGCCCAGGTTAAGTGTTCCTCTTATTCAGAATCTAGTGAAGCTGCTCAGTTGGAAGAGGTCACTTCAGTACTTGAAGCTAATAGCAAAATTAGTCATGTGGTCGTTGAAGACACTGTCGTTTCTGATAAATGCTTCCCTTTGGAGGACACTTTACTTGGGAAAGAAAAGAGCACAAACCGAATTGTAGAAGATGATGCAAGCATAAGTAGCTGTAATAAATTAATAACTTCAGGTAAGTTTTGATTTTCTTTATTCTCCGCCAAGAGAGCTTTGTGCAACCAATTTATTTAAATGATTTAAATTCTAAAATATATATTGTGTTTTCTTTCTGCACTTATGATACATGGGGACCATTGATAGTTTTGTAAAAGACATTTAAGAACTTTAAAGAAACCAGTTGGAGGTTGAAATAAACAACTTGGATGTTAACATTTATAGACTGTTGCGCAGGGTACGTTTTGGGAACAGTCATAAGTTTATAACCCCAATTCCAATAAGAAATATCTCTTTTTGTTGTGTTAGGATCACAAAGTATCTCATTTCTATTACTGTGGAGGATTTGGATGGTTATTGATAATGAAAATGAGATGAGTATTTAAAATGAGGATTAGTTACCAATGGTAGACTCTCTGCCAAAACTAGTTCAGAAAGATTAAGGGGGTATTGAGTGGAGACATTTAAAGAATTGAACTTGATTCCAAATTGAGATTAGTTTGGGGCCAGTATCAACTTGTATTGATAGATTTTTTTTTTTGAGAAGGAGTCTCGCTGTCGCCCATGCTGGCTCCGCCTCCCAGGTTCATGCCATTTTCCTGCCTCAGCCTCCCGAGTAGCTGGGACTACAGGCGCCCGCCACCACGCCTGGCTAATTTTTGTATTTTTAGTAGAGACAGGGTTTCACTGTGTTAGCCAGGATGGTCTCCATCTCCTGACCTCGTGATCTGCCCGCCTCACCTCCCAAAGTGCTGGGATTACAGGCATGAGCCACCGTGCCCGGCTGTGTTGATAGATTTTAAACCACAAAACTGGTTGTATTTTAAAAATGTTAATTTGTAAATATAGCATCTAGTATTCTCTCCTAAAACGATATATTTTGTTCTGTCTTCTGTAAGGGATTTGAGATTTATAATAAGTGAAAAAGGTGCAATTAATTAAAAGACTGAAGAGCTAATATTGAGGGTGGCAGGGAAGAGGTGGGGTGGAGAAGTGGGAGCACTCTATCAGCATTAGGATAAGGGTGGCAGTATACTGTAATTGAAAAGAAACCTTAGTTCTTGACGTCTTGGCAAAGTTTAGCAATAATGAGAGGTTATAAAAATCTCCTATTTTGAAAGGAAGTAAACACAGACAAAACTTGGCTGTACTGAATTCTTAAGGCAAATTTGTCCTTTGAAGGTTAAGGTATGTGAAACAGTACAATGTACTGGGCCTTGCATAGTTTTACTAAAAATGTTGAGCATTTTTTCACTCTTTTTCTCACTCTTGGATGAGACGATGAGCCAGCTGTTATTGTCATTCCCTTGATCCTCAGGGTTAATTCTAATTTGGCTGTCCTTCCTGCTTTGCCCACATTTCTCCTCAGGCGTTGTTGACAAGTTAAGTTTAGGTTAAATTTCCATTAAAAAACAGCGTAAAGGACCTGTGCAGTGGCTCATGCCTGTAATCCCAGCACTTTGGGAGGCCAAGGCAGTTGGATCACCTGAGGTCAGGAGTTCAAGACCAGCCTGGCCAACATGGTGAAACCCCATCTCTATTAAAAATACAAAAAATTAGCTGGGCATGGTGGCGGGTGCCTCTAAATCCCACCTACTACGGAGGTTGAGGCAGGAGAATCACTTGAACCCAGGAGACAGAGGTTGCAGTGAGCCGAGATCGCACCACTGCACTCCAGCCTGGGCAACAAAGCAAGATGCCATCTCAAAAAAAAAAAAAAAAAAAGGCATAGACAGCATAAAAACTGTTTCCAGGTCAGCTCCTAAAAATGTATAAATGTATATTAAAATCATCAAACTTTTTTTTTTGAGACACAGTCTCGCTGTGTTGCCCAGGCTGTAGTACAGTGGCGCAGTCTTGCCTCACTGCAACCTCCGCTTCCCGGATTCAAGTGATTCTCCCACCTCAGCCTCCCCAGTAGCTGGGATTATAGGCACCTGCCATCATGCCCAGGTAATTTTTGTATTTTTGTAGGGACAGGTTTTCACCGTGTTGGCCAGGCTAGTCTCAAACTCCTGACCTCAAGTGATCTGCCTATCTAGGCCTCCCAAAGTGCTGGGATTGCAAGCGTGAGCCATCGCTTCTGGCCCATCAAACTTTTTTTGAACTAAAATGAATTTTAACTCAGCTCTCATTTTATATAAGAAGCTCAAAGAGGTTAAATGACTGTCCAAGGTCAGCTAGTGGCAGAACTGGAATGAGATTCGTTTATTATCAACATATTGAGCACCTACTGTCCGTCAAACCACTGTACAAGGCTCTGCGAATGCTATTCTGCTTGTGTTTGTTGTTCCAACTGACATTTCTTTTTTTTCTTTTTTTTTTTTGAGATGAAGTCTCGCTCTTGTCCCCCCAGGCTGGAGTGCGATGGCGCTATCTTGGCTCACTGCAACCTCCGCCTCTCGGGTTCAAGCAATTCTCCTGCCCCAGTCCCCCCGAGTAGCTGGGATTTTAGGCACCTGCCACCATGCCCTGCTAATTTTTGTATTTTTAGTAGAGACGGCGTTTCACCATGTTGGCCCGGCTGGTCTAGAACTCCTGACCTCATGTGATCCACCCGCCTTGGCCTCCCCAAGTGCTGGGAATATAGGCGTGAGCCACTGTGCCCAGCCTGACATTTCTTGATGTTTTCAGATAATCTACAGTGTGGGGTGGGTGGGCCGGAGGAAGTAAGATTAAACTGTGCAAGTGGTGAAAGTGCTCAGGGCTGACTCCATCTTCCTTAAGTGTATGGTCTTTTGAGGAATGGGGCATCATTGGCAGGCAGGGGCCCTGATGGCAGAGTGTATTAATAAAGTTGAACGTTTAGGTAAGGGGGAAAAGGAATGTGGAAGTTATTCATAAGTAATTGTTTCTGTAGCTTTGCGGACAATATATCTTTATGTTAAATCTGTTGTTGGAAGTTGGTTGGTGAGACCAACCAGCTAAGTGGGATAATTGCTTCCCAGTCTATGTAGCTAAAATGTAGTTCTAATGCTGATACTGTGGACTGACTCTGAGTCCAAACTCCATTTTAATTGGTCTGTGAGGGGAAAATACATACTAAAATACAGGTAAATAGATGTTCAGGAACATCTTGTCCATCTTCCTTCCTCCTTCACAAAGGGTCTCTTAGTGGTCAGGGAATGGTGTAGCACTATGAATATTTCTTTTTTTCTCCTCTCCCTTGGTCATCCAGAGTTGCAACAACCTTGGCAGCTCCCTGTAGGATAAGAAGTGAATTTGAGGGAGTGCATTTAATTTTCATGGTAGACTTATCCTGTCTCTAATGTGTGCAAGTTAGTTGTTCTTATAAACCATTTGTAAGTTTGTATGTTTGTAAGTTTGTTATAGTTGTGGGGATGCTTTTGTACTTTGTGACTTTTCCTTTGTCTCTCCCCTCTAAACTGGTCATTTCTCTTGTGCCTAGACTGTTTTCTTGCATTATGTCTGTCAATTTTCATTGCCTTTACTCTCACTCAGAAAACCTTGTAATTTTAATTGAAATTTAGAAACCCAAACCTAAATTTTTGATAAAAGAGGCCTCTCTAAATCTCAAGTGGTTCCTAACCTTTTTTGCTTTAGGGACCCTTCTGAGAATGATAAAGTTTTGAACTCTTTTCTCCAGATGCAAGTATTCATGTACCTACTTGGGTCTCAGAAATCTTAGCAGTCTTTTGCAGGTCATGGTTAGGCATTTTATTTAAAAACCTGTTGCAAATTTTAACAACTCATTCAAAGTGCACAGGTGAAGTTCCGTCATATCTTTCCAGTGGAGTGTTGAGTGTCCTTCTCGTTCATACTATTTTTTTGCTGTAGAATTATATCACCTCAGTGAAAAGGGCTTATCCAGGCTCAGAATTATTATGTCATTTGTCCTGGCATTACGTTTTTAAGTGCATCTCTTTCTCTATAGGGGAGTATGTGGTTGATTTTTTTGACACTGTTAAAATTCTTTAAGTACTTTTATAACGGATAGTACTTTTAAAAATTTTGTTGCGGGTGTGGCGGCTCATGCCTGTCATCCCAGCACTTTGGGGGAGGTTCAGGAGTTCGAGACCAGCCTGACCAACATGGTGAAACCCCGTCTTTACTAAAAAAAATACAAAAATTAACCAGGTGTGGTGGCGCATGTCTGTAATCCCAGCTACTCAGGACACTGAGGCGGGAACTGCTTGAACCCCGGAGGTGAAGGTTGCAGTGAGCTGAGATTATGCCACCGCACTCCAGCCTGGGTGACAGAGCAAGACTCCAACTCAATAAATAAGTAAATAAATAAATTGTGTTTCACTTGAAGAGGAAACTTAGGATGAGGTCACTATAAAACATACAGTGGCTGTAATCCAGCACTTTGGGAGGCCGAGGCGGGTGAATCGCTTGAGGTCAGGAGTTCGAGACCAGCCTGGCCAACATAGTGAAACCCCCATCTCTACTAAAAATACAAAAAAATTAGCGGAAATTGCTTGAATCGGGGAGGTAGAGGTTGCAGTGAGCCGAGGTGGTGCCACTGCACTCCAACTTGGGCAACAGAGCGAGACTCCATCTCAAAAAACAAAAACAAAAAAACCCCGCAAAACCTACAGTAGTTCCCATTTTCCAGACAGATGCTTGGTGGGTAAGGGAACCAGAAACAAGATTACAAACTGAATAGGTACTGCAGGGAAGGGTTGTGTTGCTAAAATGTCCTGTTCCTTAAACAAGAAGAAAACGTTTATTATGAAACTTTTCAGGCACACAAAAATAGAATGGTAAAAAAAAACCTCATGTACTTGATTGTCCACCTCCAATAGTTGTATCTGGCAGATCTTGTTGCATCTGTTTTGCACGCTACTCTCTCCACTTCCCATCCTTTACTCCCTGGATTTTAAAGCTAGTTTAAGATTTCTGTTTCTATCTGCAAATACTTCTGTATCTAATCTTTAATTTTGAAAACAGAAATTTCTGATTGCAGTTGCTATTAAAGCCAGTCAGTTCTCAGCCAGGTGTGCCAATTAAAAATGACTGTTAGCAGGAGCTAAAGGTCCACCCTTCTAAGAGATCTCCAGGTATTCCTTAATGGTTTGAATCAATGCCGTCGGTAGTAGAGGCAAAAAGAAGGCTTCTCTTGCCTTTTATGCAAGGCTACTTCCATTTCTCATCTTTGTTCTGCTACAGGTTTTTAATCTGGACTCTAGAATAAAGTGTGCAAAGACTTATATTTCGGCTTGGCACACTTTTCTTGCCAGCCAGCTGGGATTCAGTCTACATATCCTGCCAAATATTGAGATAACTACAGCATAGGCTCTTAATTTGCCTGACTGGTTTTGTAGCCAATAAATTTTTTTAATTTGCTTAAAGCTGTAATGAGTATTTGTGTAAGTTAGAGGGATGGTATTGTCAGGAGATTTTGAACTTGGATTTAGAACTGAAGGTGATTTTTTAGAAAGGGAAATGTTTTATTACTGAAAGTTTAAAGTAGGACAGGAACTTGTGATCTGAGATGAGATTGTCATTGGATAAAGTACAGATGATATGAGGATTATTATTATTTTTTAAGTCCTGAAAGGATAGTATCAGCAAGAGTTACCTGCCTTTATTTATTGAATGTATTTGTTGTGTAGAATATATTTAAATCATACCGAAAATCAGCTTCTTTTTAAGAGAAGTGGATAAGACCTATTATTTCTTTTTTTATTTTTATTTTTATTTTTTGGAGACAGGGTCTTACTCTCTCATCCAGGCTGGAGTGCATGGCTTATCACAGGTTCTACCTCCTGGGCTGAAGCCATCTTCCCTCCTCGGCCTCCCCAGTAGTTGGGAGTACAATGGTTCACCACCACACTGGGCTAATTTCTATATTTTTTGTAGAGACCGTGTCTCAGTATGCCCAGCCTGGTCCTGAACTCCTGGGCTTGAGTAGTCCTCCTGCCTCCACCTCCCGAAGTGTTGGGATTACAGGCATGAGCCACTGTGCCCGGCCCTGTTATTTCTTAAATTCCTACTTTTACATATCAATTGATCCTTAATCACAACTGTATAAGGGAGGCTTTATTTCCATTATATTGAGGGTAAGGCACAGTTCAGAGGTTGAATAACTTGAACTGTTAAGTGGAAGATCTGGGAAACATCCAAAGTGTTCTTTTCATACAGTGCTGTTGTATTCTGATGTGAATGAGATAAATTTTGTCATCTTCAAAGCTGTATATTTAGAAGAGACTGTCACTGTAAGAGCAGTTTTATCTTGATGTTGGAAATAAAGTTATTTTGCAAGGGGCAAATTATGGATTCCCTCTTGTCTCTGTTCAAGTAATTTTCTGCTTTTTTTAATTTTAAAGATGTGATTTTTGTAAAGAGGTGGGATCTGGCTGTCTTGCCCTGGCTGGCCTCAAACTCCTGGGCTCATGCAGTGCTCCCACCTCAGCCTCCTGCCTCAGCCTTCTGAGAGGCTGGGATTACAGGCATGCCACCTGGCTTAAGTAATTTTCTTTTTAATAAGAATGATGGGCCAGGCATGGTGGCTCACACCTGTTAATACCAGCACTTGGGTAGGCCAAAGTGGGAGGATGGCGTGAGCCCAGGAGTTCAAAACCAGCCTGGTCAACATAGTGACATCCCATTTCTTCAAAAAAAAAAAAAAATTAGCCTGATGTGTTGGGGTGCACCCGTAGTTCCAGCTACTTGGGAGACTGAGTTGAGGATCACTTGAGCCCAGCAGTTCAGGGCAGCAGCGAGCCATGATTGGGTCACAGCCTGGGTGACACAGCAAGATACCATCTCAAAAACAAAACAAAACAAGAATGATGACCAAACTATTTTTAATACTTACCGAATAAAGTTTTTGACTTGATTTTTATAGATATTTTCTACTACTTATTTTCATATGTGTATATAAATGGAAATTCAACATTATGTAAATTATGAAAGAGGCATTATAATTTTAAGTAAATTCATTTTGTTCTAAAGCAGAACTTTTGTTTCTTACTCAGATTTTCTGAGGAAAAGGAGTATTATTCTCAAGGTTTGTATATTAACAAACGCATGGGAGACCACTAACAAATTTCTTCTCAGATCCAGATTGAATACCAGCTATGGGGTAAAATATGAAATTTATAAACATAGCCTCTGTACTTTAGAGTTACTGACTTCTGCTGGTCATGATAAAGAACTAGCTTCTAACATGACAACACTTTTATATAATACATTATGCTTTTCAGAGCATTTTCCCTAAGTATTTTATGCTTTTAGAACTTGAAGCCAGACAGCCGGGTGCGGTGGCTCACACCTGTAATCCCAACACTTTGGGAGGCAAGGCGGGTGGATCACGAGGTCAGGAGTTCGAAACCAGCCTGACCAACATGGTGAGATCCCGTCTCTACTAAAAATACAAAAATTAGCCAGGCGTGGTGGCGTGTGCCTATAATCCCAGGTACTCAGGAGGCTGAGGCAGGAGAATCGCTTAAACCCGGTAGGCAGAGGTTGCAGTGAGTCAAGATCATGCCACTGCACTCCAGCCTGGGCAACAGAACGAGACTCTGTCTCAAAAAAAAAAAAAAAAAAAAAAAAGGCCGGGTGGAGTGGCTGATGCCTGTAATCCCAGCACTTCGGTTTGGAAGGCCGAGGCGGGCGGATCACGAGGTCAGCAGTTCGAGACCAGCCTGGCCAACATGGTAAAACCCGGTCTTTACTAAAAATAACAAAAATTAGCCAGGCACGGTGGCGGGTGCCTGTAGTCCCAGCTAGTCCGGAGCCTGAGGCAGGAGAATTGCTTGAACCCGGGAGGTGGAGGTTGCAGTGAGCTGAGACCATGCCATTGCACTCCAGCCTGGGTGACTGAGCGAGACTCTGTCTCAAAAAAAAAAAAAAAAACCAAAGAGCTTCGAGCCAGATGATACCTCATGAATTTTTCTTTTCCAGCACTTGTGCCTTTAGGAAGTAGTACTCAACTTTCCTAGACCCCTGATGGTAGAGGAGGATGAGTTTGTTCATAGGAAGGTCTACGGGGATGCCTCCTTCCAGCTATTATTTTAGTGTCCATGAACAAGATGGACTCACTTGCATTTCTCGCATTGTACTGGGGAAGATAGAATAAACAATCACAAGTGTGCTGAAAAGGAAAAAATATATAGAGTGGTGCGGGAGTGTAGCACTCTATGGGCTTACTTGCTTGTTCTAGGGGTGCAGGTACGTAGGCAAGGCTGATATTTAACCTGGGACCTGTTGGTGCACTGAGAAAGGATAGAAGTGGCAGAGTTTGGTGACATGAGTGATGAGGAAGGAGGCATCAGGAATTATTCCCAGCTATGTAATGTGAGCAGCTGAGCAGATGGTAGTGTCATTTACTGAGATAGGGAACATTTTGACAGAAAGTTTGAGTTCAGTTTTGGGTACATTGGGTTTGAGATGTTTGTAAGATATGTTTCAGTGGCAGATTTGCTGGAATGGAGCTGAGATAAGAAGCCTTGATTAGAGACAATTAATTCGAAATTCAGTATATAAATATTATCTGGAAAGAAAGGATTAGTTGAAGTCATTAAAGAGAGTGTAAGAGGAAAAAGTATTAGGACTGTGCTGTGAAGGACTTCCAATACTGGCCGGGCGCGGTGGCTTACGCCTGTAATCCCAGCACTTTGGGAGGCAGAGGCGGGCGGATCACGAGGTCAGGAGATCGAGACCACGGTGAAACCCTGTCTCTACTAAAAATACAAAAAATTAGCCGGGCGTGGTGGCGGGCGCCTGTAGTCCCAGTTACTTGGAGAGGCTGAGGCAGGAGAATGGCGTGAACTCTGGAGGCGGAGCTTGCAGTGAGCCGAGATCGCGCCACTGCACTCCAGCCTGGGTGACAGAGACTCTGTCTCAAAAAAAAAAAAAAAAAAGAACTTTCAATACTAATGGAGGGGGAGAAGAGGAAGAAACTAGAAAAGGAAATTCAGTAGGAGCAGCTAGAGCAGCTTAAGGGAAACCAGAGAAGTGATATATTATAGAAGCCAATGTAAAAGTATTTCAGAAAGTATTGACTGACGCGGAATGCTGCTGCCATCAACTTAAGTGAGGACTGCAAGGCAGACCTTGGATTTGCAGCTTGGACTGGAGTGATCCAAGGGGTGAGGAAATGGGGGGTAACAAGTGTTTACAACTTGTTAAAGATGTTCGAAGGGGAGGAGAAGAAAAAGGGCAGCTAGAGGGATGTGAGGGATTCTAGATGGTTTAATGCGTGGGATCCAAAGCGCAAGAGAACCGTTTTGGAAGAAGGGGTGCTATGTTTGGCTGGAAGGAGGAAAGTTGAGTAAAAAGATGAGCTTAGTGGGAGGACATAAGAGAAGGTGGTTTATAGCTAAAAGTGTGTTTTCCCTTATCCCATAAAATGACCAAAGAGGTTATTACTGAAAGGGACAAAGAAAGGCAGGGTAACTTGGGGGGTTTGGGGGAGCAGGAAAGAGTTCAGATAGATGTTACTTAAAGTGGGAGAATGAGCTGTCTAGAGACAAAGTAGAATTTCTGGACATTATTGAGGCCTTAGTTGAAGTTGGTGTCACTAAAAACACATGGTCACTAATCTACCTAGTGTGTATGTTTTTTTCCTCCTCCTCTAGTAGGCCCCATTATCTGGAACCTGGACAGAATACAGAATATTGGATAAGATTATTAGAATTGTCCTCAATAGACATTTTGTCAGTCAGCATGTGGAATGAAGAGATAGAGAAGCAAGGGAATTTAGGGTGTTATTGCCCAGAGAGAGATTGAGAAGATAGACTGTGGAATTTAAAATGCTGAGTGCCCGGACAGGGCTAATGAATAGGAGAAAGGGGAGAAAGGGGTTAGTATACTGAGAATCTTCTTAAATAAAAATGAAGAATGGGAGTACTGGCACAAGCAAGTTGGATGGTTGGTAGGTTGTGATTAAAAAAAAAAAAACAGTGGGCTATCTGATTTTAATGTTTATGAAGTGAAGCATTTTAGGATATACGGCAAGCTTCTGGATGCAACTGAGAACTGGTGGCTGAGATGGAATGCGGAAGATTGTTGATGATGAGATAAGGTTAAAGAACTGGGAAATCAGAGGGTTGGAATTTGGTGGAATTCAGTGTGATAGCAAAATTGGGATGGAGGAGTAGATTATAAATATGGTGTAAAATCCTTAAATACATGAACAGTGAATAAGAGGTTGAATAAGAGGTTGTTGGATGACAAGTATTAGGAAGATTAGAGGGTAACTAGCACAAGCCTTAAAAGAAGGGGCTTTAATTTTTTTTTTTTTTTTTTTTTTTTGAGACAGAGTCTCGCTGACGCCCAGGCTGGAGTGCAGTGGCACAGTCTTGGCTGACTGCAACCTCTGCCTCCCGGGTTCAAGCGATTCTCCTGCCTCATCCTCCCGAGTAGCTGGGATTATAGGCGCCTGTCACCACACCTGGCTAATTTTTGTATTTTTGGTAGAGACGGGGTTTCACTATATTGGCCAGGGTGGTCTTGGACTCCTGAACTCAGGTGATCCGCCCGCCTCGGCCTCCCAAAGTGCTGGGATTACAGGTGTGAGCCACCATGCCCGGCCACTACTTTTTTTTTTTTTTTTTAAATCTTTCCTTACTTATTTTTGTTGTCTTTTTATTATTATTTGTTTAGTCTTACACAAGAAAATCAGAGAAGCCAAGAAGGGGCTCTTATATAACAGGGTGGAGGAGTAATCATTTTATAAAGAGGCTCTGGAGAGTCAGCATATCAGTGTCCCCAAACTGTCCTGCTCTGAAATAGTAGGGAGGGCTGCAGGAAAAGAGGCACCCTTAGTCCAGTGTAGGGCAAAGAAGTGGTAGAAAGAATGAACCCCAGGTGTCCTTTTAATTTTTTTTAGAAACAAGGTCTTTCTCTGTTGCCCAGGCTGGAGTGCAGTGGTGCGATCATTGCTCAC